>NW_003315907.2:0-183290 GCF_000001405.40 Homo sapiens
CATGAAGGAGTAAGGTGTGTAGTAAATAAATCATAGACTGTTAATTCTGAGGGTAAACAACTTTTACATAAACTGATCATTTGTTTAAAAAGTCCAACTCAAGAGTAGTTCATTGCTTTTCAATATTTTCACTGATCAGTAACAAAATTATCTGTGGCATAATCAGTAATAATTACTGATGGACCAAAGACCACCCACCCAATGAATCTTATTATCTCAAATATTTTGGCAGTTTCATTCTCAGTGATTTTATGATTTCTTGGAATTTTTTCCTTCAAGTTACAAATGTGTTTTGTTTCCTTCTATTTTCAATTTTTATTAATTTTGGTATAGAACATTAATTTCCATATAAAAATGTAGAATTTTTCTGAATTCCACAGTTAATTTCTCAGGAGGAAGGAAACTGTTAACATAAGGTTAACCAATAATCATTTCTACACCTGACAAACTTACTCCACATCAGAACTTTAGTTCACTAATATCTGCATTTATGCTCATTAACACAGTTCACTAGAGATTTATGTTTATGGGTTTTCACTGTCATTGAAATGTGTTATTCTTTCCATTCCTTGCATATTGATACTCATCAGACCTATGGTTTATCTAATTTGAGTTGAGTGAAGCAGAACTAGATTAAGTCCAGAGGGAATTAGAATTAATAAGGACAAAAACCTTGTGTTCAAATATTTTTTTTTAAAAAAGCATGACATAGAATATAAGTATTGCATACTGCTCAGTTCAAACCACTTTGAGGGGAAAAAATAACTTTGAATCTTTGGTAGAAAAACGGATCTCTTTATCTTTGTTGACATAATAAACATTGATAAAATATGGCTGATTTTTGTTTCTATTTCCTTTTGCGTTCTTCAACTCTGGGTTCTTTCTTTCCCTAGTTTGTAGATGTAGTTCTTAAATGTTCCCCATTTCTTTCTGATACTTTTTGTTTACCTTCAATTTTCTATCTTTTTCCCCTTCCTGTTTCCTCTGCTCTCCTCCTTTTTTCTTTTCTCTCTTTCCACCTTACAACGTTGTTTAAGCATGTTGTAAACTTATTCATTCCCCAAAGGCAAAAACAGCTATCTGAGCAACACTTTGTCAGCATAATACATTTACAGAATGCATATTTATGAACCTTTGAGCTTTTATTGTTGCAGAGGGCAAATAAAAAACATGAAAAGTAGCAATATAGTGTTTCAAAGGTCCCTCAAGGAAAACAAAAGTAGCTGGAAATAAATTTGGAAAAAGGTTCTTCTGTAAAAACAAAACCTTGAATTTGTACATGCAAAAGGTTGAATAGTAGAAACCATTTTTGCTCTTCCTCCTAAACTAAGACTTAGGAAATTTTAAACTTTTTAATAGGTCTAGCCTCTTAAAGTCTGGAAAATAATAATTTTAAAAGGGGATTGGATATAAATGTTTATAATCCACAGAATCTTAAAACAGCATGTTGCATTTGGCTGTAATAAAAAAAAAGAGGAAGGAGGGAGACTTAAATTGAAAAGCCCATCTTACTTCCAATTACAAGTTTGGCTTCCAGCATGGAGTCTTATACTAAATGAGCCAGATTAAAGAGTTCAGGACTGGAAATGAAACTCTAATAAAATGTCTTTTGAAAGGCTTATTTTAATTGATGTTAGCAAATTTAATTTCTCATAATTAAATTCTCATTGTATTCCATAGCTCTCTAAAATGAATAGTTGATTAATATTTAATGCTTGGTGGGGAAGTGGCCAAATACACCACTGTCCAGACAGAATGGGGTAACCCAGAGCAAAAGAGAAGCCTAGAGGTGAGAATTCTGAAGCATTTTGAGGGAAACCTGTGAGCCTCAAATCTTCATATGTACATGAAGGGCCAGGGGTGTGGTTTTTTCAGGGTCATCTTTGTCCTTCAATATATTCCATTTATCAATGCTGTCAGTTTCAAGCTCTCAGTAAACAAATAGCGTATCTCCAAGGTCTGTATCTAAAAAGCATCAAAATGGACCTTCCAACTTTGAAGTTCTGCAGTTTGCACAGTTAGGAATGGAAGATTATCTGTAACCATTACCCTAAAATCAACCTTTAATCACTGGGCAGTTTCTGGCAATGAGCTGAGCCTAAATCAGGGAGTTTCAAACAGAATAAATTGAAATTAAGCTCCAAATCCTATTTGCAGTGGAAAGCAGTGGATTTCTTAGACTGAGAACTATTGTAGTATTCAATTTCCATTGAAGAATGTGTGCTAGAGAGTGGTACATCCCTAAAGATCCTATTCATCCTGTCATGTACACTTTAGATGTAAGTCCATAATAACACTTAGAAATTTCTTCTGTAGAGAGAAAAGAAGCCCTAGTCCCCAGCTTATTCCACATTTCTCTTCAACAATAGAGTTTTCTTGGCTCCACTGAATTTCAATCAAGTTATTGCCTTCCATTCTTAAGAAACTCCATCCAGTTACAATGTGAAAATCCAAATCACAATGGAACCAAGCCAGGTAACAATGAACTTTTGATGAATTCTTAAGTTTTCCAGGGAAAGTTGCATTCCACCTCTCTGACTTTATTAGTGAGAAAATCAGGTATTGGCAATGAATCATGAGGTTTCTATGAAACACTAATTGGGAGAAGAATGATAAGTACCAGAGAGCAGAAAGAGGTCTATTTCATTTATCATTGTGTATCTAGTGTCTACAAATGATAGTTGGTAGATGATGGATATTTGGCTATATTAATGAACGTAAATAGAACTGTGGTCTTTATGCATTGCCCTCCTGATTACCACTTGACTGTCTCTACTGCACATACAATGTTTATTCTGCTGGGGTGCCAAATAACTGTCTGTTTATTTCATTGAGCAGAACAAATAATTTGATTTTTATGTTTTTGACATTAAGACATGTTACATTTCCTTTTTCTCTCAATTTTGTCTGCTTCTTCCACTTTTTAAATTAACCTCCATTGCACCAATTCAGGTTCTTTGTGGGATATTAATAATCCTAACACTGCCTCCAGAAAAGCACACACACTAGGCCATTGCACATAAATATTTATAGCATCCCCATCATGTAAAAAACAAATTTAGGAAAAGATTTTAAATAGCAATAATTAAATGATATTATTAAGTACCATGTAATATGTTAACTGTTTGTAGTGCTATTCGTTATAGGGAGACCCTAGAACTAATAGTGCATGGAAGAAAGAAAGAAACCATGATTTAAATAAGAGTTACTTAGAAATTCTTTTACTTAAGTGTCTCCTTATCTACACTGGTTAAAATACAGTATCCTTAGAATGACATATGAAGTCCTGCTTATATCTCTAGCTTTTTCAACAATTTATTTCGTACACATACTATCCGTGTACCTACTGAACTACTCTCATTTTTCTGGGTACTAAAATTGTTTATTGCCTTCATTACTTTGTATAAGTTTTGTGTACCCAGTAAGCTCCTACTCATCTCTCAGGATTGACTCATGTTCTCTCTAGGAATCTAATCTAACACCATGCCCTGCAGAGGCTGAGCTAACAGCTCTCTTTGTTACATCACTCCTTTGTTGTAATTACAGATTTTTGAGTGTTTTGAAAAAAATGACTGTGTATTGTTCATTTTTATATCACTGGGGTCTAGCACAATATCTGTCATATAAAACCCGCTTAAAATATGTATAGAATAAATGAATATATGGATGGAAGGGTAAATTAATTAATGATTAAGGACCCAGTGGCATATTGTCACTAGGGTGAGAGATTATAATATTTGATCATGATGAATATATAAGACAAGCAAAGTTAGAGATAGCTGGAAATGCATGGTTTTATCTTCTCTGGCATATACCCTATGTGTGCCTTTCACCTTTTTTCTTTGGCCTCACACATGTCACCATATCTTTGCATGAAGTTTCTCTCCCTTTTATTTATAAATATTGCTAAATCAATTTTTGAAATCATCAGTTGGTTAGCATTTCAGAGAGAATATTCATCAACACTGATGGTTACCATTTTCCAGAGATAATAAAGTATACCATTTTCTTTCAAACCCCAGGTGGTGAATTAAAGGGGGCCACACATTCTTTCTAGCTCTTCTCATCTAGAGATAAGGTCTATTTCCCACCTCCTTGAATATGAGCTGAATTTTTAACTTGCATTAACTAGTAGGAGGTAGTGAAAGAGGATGTACCAGTTCTGTGTCTAGGCTTTCAGAAGCCTGACAGCTTCCAGATGCATTCTCTTGGAATCCTAGGCTACTATGTAAAGAGTTCTGACTACCCTGCTTGAGAGCCCATGTGGATAGAGAGAGGTTGTCAGCACATTCTCAGCAGTTTGAGCCATCTGGGTAAAGTGATAGACATGTGAATGAAACCATTTTGGATTTCCAGGCACAGTCAGTAATCCCAGATGACTGCAGCCACATGAGTGATGCCAAGTGAGACTAGAAGAACCACCCAGCTGAGCCCAGCCTAGATTGCAGAATAAATGTGGTGCTAAACCACTGAGTTTTGAGATAGTGTATCACACAGCAGCATATATTCCAGATAACTGGAACATTGAAGAACCCATTTGTGAATACTTAAGCTAGCCTTAAAATGATGTCCTAAATGACATATTCCTCAGCAATGAGTTTGCTAACACCAAATGCCTGTGAAATAGTCATTATAATTAAAAATCCTATTATCAGACACATTTCAGAGTTTGGTCTTACATGCCTGGAGATGTGTTCTTTTTTCCCCACTGCTCTACTCAGCAGCCCTCTTTTAAGGTTGTGTCAATGCTTCAAACATAATGTTTTTCTGAGATTTATAACTTAGCCATAAGACTTTGACCTAGGCTGCACTTTGGTATTTTAAGTGTCAGAAGGGGACATTTTTATGTTTATCTTTTAATGGGCTCAGAGAAGTGTGCAGTAACCTTATGTCTTTTTCAATGTGCACTTTGTCAGTAGAGCAGCTTTCAATGTCTGAGGGCATGTCAAAACATCTGAGTTTTATAGATCATGGATCTATTTGTTAGCCACTCAACTTTTCCATGATAGTTCAGCTCATACCATCTGGTAGATTAAGTTGGACATTTTGATGAAGAAGCAAGTTACAATTGATATGATTTTCCAAAGTTAGTGTGCAATGTCTTCTAAATAACTACCTTAAAAGTGGCTTCACATTTCTTGGTCTGCATCCATCCCAGGGGAATAAAATGTTTTAGTTGATTGAGAAAGATTTCATATAAAAAACTTAGGCAGAGGGAAATGTGCTATGAGGTCTTCTGACAAAGGGAAGGGTAGGACATCTTTCCCTCTACCTGCCTACCACAGTTAGGGAGGGAACTTCAATGGGACACTTGGAGAGTGTGGGATGTATTCCCTGCAGTCACTGGGGACAGTGGAGCCTGACTCGTGTTAGGGCCTGTGACCACAGAGTGAGGGCTACTTCTGAGAGTGTCCAACACAACCTTCTAATAGCAAGTTACATGTGAGAATGTCAGGGACTAGATGCAAAACTCAGCTAGATTGTCAGTCCGTTTTGAAGGAGATCCTGCCCAGTAGGGAAGATTTCTAGGTGCTGGTCTTCAGAAGTAAGGGATGAGGGTGTCTCAGTAGGGGATGAAACAGAGTGAATGTCAGGAGCAAGCACTTGAAAGAGTCACTGTGCTCTGCCTGCACCAGGGGCTTGGGCTTCAGGGAAACTAAAAGAACTTGGGAGCACCTGGCAGAGAAAGTCAACTGTGAAAGCTGTAGCTCAAGAGCACGAAAAGGCAAGCTCTAACAGTCCCAGTCAGGTTAGAGGTGTCTTTACTTTTCCTACTTTCCCTTCCTCCACCCCTGGCTGGGACAAAAACAGCTGTCAGTTGGGATGAAGTGAGAAGAAAGAGGGAAATCGTATCTTTTTCCTCATGGAAATGACAAGCCCACAGCAGGCCCCAGCTGAAAAGAGAAAAAAATTTTATTTAAATCAAGTATAAAGTTTTGCTTATTACTAGAGCATGGACACTTTTTCTTGATTTTTGACTTACGGTGACTATCAGATGTTCTGTTACCCAAGACGAGTCAGAAAAGCCATGAGAATCAGAGCAGAGGAGAGACTGTTTCCACTAAATACATTTTAAAGGAGTAGGGGGAGACAAAATAAAATTGCATTGTGATTACATTCCAAGTAATCAGATATATCGTAATCCAATACATTGATTACATCACCCAATTGGTTCTTTTTAAGATTTACTAGTTTCAAGTATTTAAAATGTAATTAAAATATTTTCTTATATCCTTTCACAGAAACATAACCTCATTTATTCCCTACATCTTTACTTTTCAAAAAAAAATACAATGAATGCAGGGAGGAGGACACACTGGAATTCATCTGAACAATATATTTTTTTAAAGCTACTGTTATTTATTAATACTAAATAATATGCTAAAATATTTCCTGGAATAACTTTGATAAAAAGTTATTTAGATAGATTTTTAACAAAATCTATCATGATCTCATGTCCTGACTTCTTATTTGATATGATTTATTGGTACATTATCATCAGTGATGAATTCTACTTTTATGTATTTTACATCATAAACTGGTAAACTGTATATAGACTATAGAGACAAGAGAAGCTCATTATCTTTTCAAGAAAATTAGTAGTGATTATCTATTGATCTTGTAATAAAATGTGACTGTAATAGTAAAACTTCATGAGTACACACATTTTCTGTGCAAATATGAAGTAATACAATCAAGAACGGCTGTTTGATAAAATTCTTTAAATTTTCTATATAAACATGACAAATAATATTTTTTAATAATATTTTTTCTCTAAGAATTTCTAACTTCTTACTCAAGACATATTATTTTTACTTACAGGAAGAAGAAAAGAGTTATAGCAAGGCTAACTGACTTGCCTAAGGTTAGATACCAAATCAATGAAAGGAAACCCATAATCCCTACCTGAAAGCCTCAAACCACCAGACTAAATGCAAGGTCTGGATAAAACATAAGGGAGTAATACAGCATTTAGGGAAAATGAGGAAGGAGGTATATACCCCATGGGTGAACTGTTAGGTCTTTTCTATTTCTTGTTTTTCAGCGTATTTGAGTCTTTATGGAGCTCTAAAAATAGATATATCCGATATGTATCTAATAAAAGAGTCCCTGGTTACACATTTTGGCATACCATGCCTTGCTTACAGTGTCTATAATTGAGAGCACAGAACCTATCCTGAATTTTGCCAACAGAAGTAAAGGAAATAAAAACCCCTCTTAGTAGTAAAACACAGATTGATGTCACAAAAAGGAGGTTTCAAAATAAATAGAAAATATGCAGAAAAATGGAAGTAATGAGGAAAATAGTTCTCAAAACTAGCTTTTAAAACACCATCAGCAAAGTTGTCTGTGGTGAGGCAGAAAAAACACTTGGGTCCTAATCCTGATGCTTTAGTCATCTATAGATGCTTAACAAATTACTGTAAAGTGAAGTGACTTAAAATATTTATGATCTCACAGTTTCTGTCAGTCAGGAATTCATACATAGCTTAACAGAGTTCTTGTTCTCATGGTCTTTCAAGAAATTGTAGTCCAAGTGTTGGTTAGGGTGATGGTCTCATCTGAAAGATTGACTGAGGGAGGATCTGCTTCCAAACTCACTCATGCGATTGTTAGCAACTCTCAATTTCTTGCAGGCTGTTGAATTGAAGGCCTCAGTTTCTCACTGGCTGTTGTACAGAGGCCTCTATCAGTTGCTTTCCATATAGGTCTCTCCATAGGGAACTCACAACATGGCAGCTGGCTTCCATCAGAGTCAGGTGACAGAACAAGAGAGGTGAGCAAGAGAGAATGAGTAAGATAGAAGACAATATTTTGGCAGCCTAATCTCAGTAGGGACATCCCCTCACTTTTACAGTATTTTATTGTTAGAAACAAATTACTAGGTTCAGGCCATACCTGGGAGGAGATCACACAAGGGCATGAATACCAGAAGGCAAGGACCTTAGAGAGCTGCCTACCACACCTAATCCTGCAAACTAATGAGTTACATAAGTTTAGGCAAGTCACTTCATACAATAATTTTAGCTTCTCCCTCTATAAAATGAGGGGTTTGGACTAGGTAATTCCTGAATTTATTTCTAATTTTTTAGTTCCATTGTTCTGATTTGCAGTTTAGTAAAATATCAGTTATATATTGAGGACCAACTACATGGTAGGCATCATGCTGGATCCTGTGAAATTAGTCATTGCTTCTGCCCTCAAGTAACCCAGAACCACTTAACATGGTACCCTTCCTCAGCATACTGGGGATATTGAGTCTGCATTTTAAATTTAATCACAAGCTCTCGATCCAGCATATGTTCTGGGACATTTGGCTTCATTCAGAAACACTTTGTTGCAGCAGTATGAGACAGATTTTATAACTGATAATAAGCAGAACAGGGATCAAATAATTCAGGTGTGTCTTACTTTCTGGAGTAAGTACATTTCTGATAATATTGAATGGACAAAATTAGTTATTCAAGCTAGAAATTTATTAATACTGAAAATGCTATGCTCTAACTTTTAAGGAAGTTAAAAGTTACTCTTTTTTAAAAAAAATAAAGACAGTGAATACATCTGTGGAGTGAATTTTGTACATAAATACCACTTATGTGTGGGTGCACGGTTTTTAAAAAAATAGACAGTTTCATTTTCTGTGTATACTTAAAGGAGAGAAACAAAGAACAAGAGACAAAATTATTCTGTGGAAGACTCTAATGTGGAGAGAAAATTTCTGGGGTCTATCCTTTTAAAATTTCTATAACTGTTTTTTACTCTTACTTCATCTTTCTGAGCTGAACGTCAGCCACTTTTATCTCTTTAGTTTTTTTTTTTCCTTATTCAAACATAAAAGCTCCCACTTCCAAGAACTACAGACTTATTTCTTCGGACCATCTCGGCATTCATGGCTACTGATTAGATTGTCATGATACACTTGGTCCAGAGATTGCCGGAGAGAAAAGTACAGTCTGAGAAGCTATAGAAGTAGTGGAAGCTTGCTGAAATGGAACCCAGGCAACAATAATAGACATTCATTAAGGATGTGCTGTGTGCCACACATTATACATGCATCATCTCACTTATTTCTCATAAAATAATCCAATAAGTAGCTACTAATATTATTCACATTTTACAGAAGGGAAAATGCAAACTTAGATTAAGTGCTTTGCTCCTTAGTGACTGACCCAGATTTGGAAACGAAGGTCTGAATCCAAAGCTTTGCCCAATACTGAAATGACAGACTTTCAGTCAAAACACTCATTAAAGACATGAAGTATTTGGTGATAACTCTGCTTTCCTCCTCCCAGACTTTTGGTAAGCATTGTATCTAAAACTTATCTGTATCTCTATTGTTGAAAACTTGAAGCATTTATTGAACCCCTGTTATGCATCATTACATTATTTTGCTCTAATCCTAGAGGAATTCATTCATTCATTTGACAGGTATTTACTGAGTGCCTGCAATGGGCCAGACACTGTGGCAAGCACTGAGGATATAAAGTGAAGAAGGTAGACATAGTTCCTGCTTGGGGTGCAAATAGAGAAGTGAACAGGCATTTGTAATACTGTGTGATAAATGCTATGATCAGCAAGGCCTGAATGCCTAGGAAACATGGAAGAAAAAAGTGCCACATTGGGAAGTAAGAAAGGCCATTAAAAAAAAAATCATGTTTGGTTTTGTTGTTGTTGTTGTTGTTGTTGTTTTTTGCACATCTGCAGATGCAAATTATCTGACCTGGTTTCCTTTGCATGGTGGGTATATTAGGTTGCAATATCAGAATACCTAATGCAAATCTTTAAGAATTGATCCAATAAGGCCAGATGCCACTTGTTGAAGTTGTGTGGTCATTTATTCCGTACATCTGGGACAAGAGCCTTCATTTTATTTTTTTTCCTTTGGAGAATGATAGAAATTATATCTACTCTGGATAATTGTCAAAGCACATAGATTTTCTTTTAATTGGCACAGAAAATGCCTATACTTCAGATTTCACCTAGGGAATGTAACTTTGTGCTGTCTCTTTCCTGTTTTTAAGACATTTGTTTGTGAGATTATAAGCGTTTCCTAAAAGATATACAATCTATTAATTCTTGATAGTTGACAATTAATTTTTAAGTCAATCCAATTAATAACAAAGTTACTACTAGGATGATATAAACTTGCACTTTGACATTGTAACATTGGCTCTTGTTGAAAATGTTGACATAATGGGACTTTTGTGACATTATGATTTTACTATGTCCCATAATGTCCCTTTATGAGGATCAGGGAAGGAATATTTTTTGGAATTTGGAAAATATATCCTCCTGAATAGCTGGGTAAATTTCAGCTGATGCAACTTTGCTTTGGATGCTAGGAAGCTCAGAGTCAAATTCACAGTATGGTTCTCAAAACTACATAAGACCTTCCATGATTCACAGCATGCATTACTCTTGATACTGGTTTCATCTTATTTTTCTTTCATTTTCTGTTTATCCAACTTTGTAAAATTATTTTTTTCAGCCTGTTTCATTTTTAAATTATATCTTCTTTGAAAAAATGTGAATCAACTCATGAGAATGATTGAACATTTAAATTTTGGAGACAATTTCCTGATTTTTTTAATATGTGCAAAACTTGCAATGCTTTAAGTTTGTTACAGGCATTCATAATGAATTTTCATTTACTATCCGAAATGACACGATCTTCCATAGTAATGCAAAGGGAGAGTGTACAGAGTTATCCCAAATTACAAGCAGTTCAAAAATAATTTATTTTTATTTGGCTTGAAATAAAATTTGACATTTACTTATGACTATGACATCTGAGTTCTCATTTAAAAATTTTCAGAAAACAACCTTTAAGTCAGTATGCAACCCTGGCTTAGGAGGACCTGCAAAATTATTCCAGTAATTTCTATTGCCCTTTGCTTAGCACTCTATCATTTTTCCTTCAAAAGAGAGGAGTGGCCTATTATTTTAATCTGATGTAGAAGAGTAGCCTAAACTAAACTGCTGTCTTCTCTCTTTTTTTTTTCTCTTTCTCTCTACTTATTATTGGTGTGGTTTAAATCATTTCCTGCTTTATCAGAGAATATTTTGGCTTCAAGTTCTTGCTGAACTGCAAATTGCTTGCAGCAATCAAAGTTAAAAAGGAAAGTATCAACAAAGAACAAGCTTACTTAATTACACCAATGAGAACTTGAAAGTATCAAATTCAGTTTTAAAAGGTATATAAGCAGAAAAATTATTTCTCCAGAGTGATTATATTATATTTGCTGTGTGTGTGTACTGTTATGTATATTTAGCAGTTTTCTTCCCATGTCATCCAAATGTTTTTAGATATCAAAATGGAAGTAGAATATAATATCCATGGCTGTGTGACCAATAAATTGTATACACAGCATGTTTTCTCTCTATTTTCAAATTGCTTTAGTTTATTTACCTTTTTTCACACAGAGTTCATATATTATAAATCACAAGGATGTTTCAGGGCATGACAGACCCTCGTTCCTGAATAGAATGGTCTCTCATGCATAACTTTCTTTGATCAACCATTCAAGCCAAATGAGTTTAGGGTGAAAAGAACATGGAACATATTTAAACCAGAGAAGACAACAGCATATGGACTGTCATTTAGATTAAAAGATATCTATTGTTAGCCTGGTGCTTTGTTTCTACTCTTTATGAAAACAAATGGATTTCTCAGTAGTACATTCCCTAATAGATTTTAAATCTTGTAAGACTCAGTCATTCTTGTGGCTCACAAAAATAATGTTTTGACCTGGTTTTTAAAAAGATAATGGTAAAGACTCTGAATTGCTTTTTTATTTAGTCCTTGGCAAATAAACCAAATTGATATCCATCTATAATTCTAACTCAAAGGGTGAATTTGTTTTGATGGGACCATCTTTGGTAAGATAAGTGAAAATTCATCTACAAAGAAATCTTTGTCTGGATATGATGAACTCTACTTTTATAAAAATATTATGAATAATCAAATCATTGATGCTTGAAAATTAATTTCAGCTTGAAATAGAGTGCTCTACCTTCATGTTATTAGAATATACTTTCAAAGGCTAAACCAAACTCTAAAATAAATATAAGTATTCTAGATCGATCTGATATTTTTATGCTTTTGAGAAGAGATTTATTTTTACTTCATCACCAACTGCATAATGCTTTTGATTTATCCAATAAATAAGTCTTTTTGCTAGTGAGTCTTTTTGCTAGTAAAGATAGTTGATGTAATGTTTACCAGATTCCCATTAGCCTAAACCTAAATGGCATCTCCTGTGTGTTTTCAGTACATTTAATATGAGTTTTGGCCAGAATTTTATTGGAATGTCTACGGTTTGGTTATATATTGGCATGATAAAACAGACATTTTCTGTTTGAGTACATGATCCTCATTTAAAAAAACCACCTAATTATGTAATTACATGGAGAGTTTTGGAATAATTCCAACTTTTAAGATAAATAATATAGTATACATGTTTAACAAGGGTGGTGGTGCTAATTACATATTTATTAGAGAGGCAACGTTTTATTTACAATTAATCTGTTGGGCACCTTAGATAAAATGTTTTTTTGTTAAATAAGCTTCAAGAGTTGAAAATGAAGATAATTCTTAACTTGAATAATAAGTATCAAATGAAGACTGTGTCATTTCAGGAATATTAAAGCTAATTCTCTTGCAAATAGAAAGCTATGATTTAATCTGTTTGAAATAATTCTACTGCTCTAATACATTCAAGATCCAAAAATATTTGAATGCTTTATTGTCACAAAACTATTTCTTCAGTTTTAGTTATAAATTCTATTGAAGGACAAAGCTGCTTTCACCATACCTTTAATATATTTTATTAAATATGTTTACATTTAAATTTATTTATACTTTTTGATCAATACATGTGTGAATTATAGGATCCTTAATTTAAAAATATTTTATGTGGCTCTACAAGCAGCGCTTTGTTATTTCCAGTGATTCACTTATATCGTGGTGAGTTCTGAATGTTCTTATGCATAAATATTTACCAAAATAGGTTGAGACTATAGCAAACTCCTAATCATTCAGAAATTGATTTTCCTGGTTTTGGATTCTTAAAATCCTTTGGGCTAACTTCTCATCTCTCTTGATGGCTGCTTTTAAGCTGTCCATGTATCCATCCATACATTTGATCATTCCTTCTACATTTACAGTGTACCTATTGTGTGCTAGGTACTATACCATGCTGCAGATACATTGGTGCCCAAGGTAGAATTATTTCCTCTCTCATGGTTCTTTTGTCTAGACACATGCATTAAATAAGCAATTATGTAAAGTTATGTGATCACCATTGGGGTAGATGGGGCAGAATGCTCTAAAAAACATTTAATGGGAGGAACTAGCTATCCAGGGGGAAATGTAGAGATGGGGTCAGAAGAGAATCCTAGAAGACCGGTGTTGAAGTTTAGACCTGAAGGAAGCTAGGAGTTGGCCCAGAGAAGATGGATAAAAGGTTGGCAGAAGAGCATTCCTGATAGAGGGAACAGTATGTGTCAAGGTCCAGAAATGGAAATAAAAATTGAAATTGATGTACAGAACATACTAGAATGGGGAGAGTAGCTGGAGATGAAGCCAAAAAGCTTGATAGTGGCTATCAAGCCAGAGAGACAAGGAATGATGGTGACTTCGAGTGTCTGTTTGTTGTATTTCTTACAGCAGCTCTTTCAGAAAGCTTGGAGGAGAGGGAAGGAAGAAAACATTGAGGTCAAGAACTTTACTAAGTATTTTCATAAGTGTGAGACAACTGTTTCAAACTTTTACCTTATCCTCCAATGGCAATGGAATTTCAGCCCCTCCAGTATAAGTCTCCTTCTCCCAACTCACTATCTTGTGCGGATGTCTCTGTCAGAGGAAGCTTTGAACAGTTGGCTCTAGAAATACCTGTAAATGGGTTGTGGTTGTCTCCATCACCTTCACATTTGCCTGTCAACATCTCTCTCTCCTCTCTCAGTGCCCACCTCCAGGACCTGGTTTGCAGTACCCAGACCTCTATGGTCACCCACCTCAATGGCCCCACATTCTCTTCCATTAATTCTTACTTCCTATGATGCACTATGTCAAAGACCTACTCTCACATGGTCAATAATGGCTTAAAGCAGCAATTATCAACTGTTGTTTGTTTCCAGGAGACATATACCCAGTGATGTTTGAATGAATGACATATACCTATGTATGTGTGCTAAGATATTTTTCATTCAGCACTGAGGCTGAAGTGATGTAGGCTTCATGTTATGGTCAATGTCCAGTGTACTCACTATAACTCAGTCCTCTGCTTTCTACTCTTGCTTTATAGAATTTCTGTAAGTCTCTATGAACATCTAAAATGCACATACCCTTCTACCCAGCAATTCCATTTTTAAGAAAGTGTCTTTCAGAAATCTTTCTACATGTGCCCAAATATATGTGTGCTAGAATATCAATTGCAACTTTTTTTGTAAGAGTAAAAAATCACAAACAAATGAAATGCCCACCAATAGGGGGCTGCACACCTTAAAACAAATTTGCTACCTATTTCAATTCATAGAAAAATACTTTAGAGAATACGCTGTAATCTGTTGATAATAATTATCTCAGAAAATGCCTAAGGGTTGAGGGTGAAAAGATGATGAAGTAAACTTGCATCCTTTATTCCATAGATTTCTGTATTTTTAAATCTCTTTTTCAGTGTGTATTTATTATTTTTGTAATAAAGGTCAATAAAAGATTCCTCCCTTGTCCCTCTAAAATGATAGCATTTTAGACACTGAAATGAGCCAGTGAGAGAGGTATTTTTGGAGTAAGGGATCTTGCTGGCACCACTTGTTTTAACTTATGTGGTGGCCACCTGCTTCACCCCTGTGTAAGGTTGGCCGTGGCCAGGGACATGTTGTGGGGGAACACAGAGTAACTGGAATGGGAATGAAACAGCAGCAAGGCTGATTTGCAGTGTTGAAATTATGGCCACCTGGACAAATAAAGACTGCATCCAATGGCCTTGCTGTTGCCTCCATTTCTGAGAGGTAACCACGCTTCTGTGGTGCTCATCACTGAAAGGTAGACTGGCAAATTTTCAGCTTCATCAGTGTAGTGAACCACATGAAACGTGGCCAGGGGTCCTGGGAAAAGAGTTTACAGGTTCAACTTGGTTATATGGGATGGGGCTAGTTCTGGGAAGACTGGCTTAGCCTTAATATTTCCCTGGAAAATAATTTTTTAAATTAAAACAAACAAACAAACATAATTTTTATTAACTTTAAGTGGGCCAATGGGAATTAGTTTCAGGAGGACCAGAAAGTCTTTTCAGGAGCCCTAGTAGGCTGCGACCCTTCATTCTGCCTGTGTGTCTGCCTTCTTCACTACATGGTAATTTACGCTTCTTAAAAGGCTGAAACTTTCTTATTCACCTTTCTGGCTCTAGCCCTGTGCTTGACATAGGACAGCAGGAGTAAGAGTGAAATACCTGGAACTGGTGGAAATAACCTAGTCTAATTTAGCCTAGAGCAGACTGAAAATATGGTTAAAATAACTTAATGATCTGGCCAATGTGGTGGAATTGAGAGTGTGTGCTTTGCCATCAATCAGACCCAGTTTAGAGCCCATCTCTGACGCTTCCTAGTTGTACATCCTTGGTGAAATCAAAACTCCCAAGACTCAGTTTCCTCAGACATAAGGTGGGGACATTAATTCCATCTCATAGCATTGGAATAATTATCCAAGATTATATATATAAAGGACCTGGGACCTGGTGGAGGCTCAATAAATGGGACAAATGGGACTTGTCATGGAGCAGAGAGTTGTGGGGCAGAGACATCATGAGTTACTGGGAAATTACAAATAATGTCCCTTAAGATTGTAGTACAGAGCCTGACACTTCCTCCTCCCTCCTCCATGACCATATGTAGTGGAGTGCTGTTTTATTTAAATCAATCATTATGGTTTACTACTGAAAATTTGGTTTGTGGCAGGATATATACAGTCTGATGGAAGAGGTAGGCCTGGTGTGGATGAGTGATTATTAAACCCTTGAAGATAACAAAATGGCACTTTGAAGGATTTCTTTACATCCAAGGTGTGATCTCCATCATGGGCATCCCCTGTCTGCCAGGACTTCAGATCTCCAAGGGACCTTGGACTAATTTCAATTTCATAAATGTCTGAATTGAGAGTGACCTTTTGATGCAAAAGAAACATTAAAGGAGATTATAGGACCAAATCCTCAGAGCAGCTACATTCTAAAGTCCCTATTCTTTAAAATGGCAAAGCTGCTGGAATTTTGCCAGGAGAACCCCACTGAAGCAAGGGGCATGAATAAATAATAATTATGGGCATCTCTTCTTCCTTTGTTTGAGCTCTTAGGGGCAAAGACAGCATCATTGATTATAATAGATTCTACATTTCTTTTTACTTTAAAAATAATTTTGTTCTTCCCTATTTCTTTTCAACTACTTTCCTTTCGTGTATTGTCTATCCTTTATCTTTTCGAGGCTCTACTGTTTTAAATTTCCCCATTTCCATCTATGTTGTTCATTTTTTCATGTTGAAGCATTTCCCCCTTGGTCCTGAGTTAATTTTCATTCTGTTTAACATTTGCTAGTTCCTTAGTTACTGTTCTCCTTCACATTTGTTTTGCCACAAATTGTTCCTTGTGTTTAATGCATTTCTGATGCCACCTATGCTTTCTATCTCTTATCTAACTCTTCCTTTTTTTTCCCGTCTTAATGTTTTTGTATTGAAGTAAAGTTGTAGTTTGAATTGAAGAGATCTTAAGGATGCAACTCTTATTATTTCTTGACCCTTGGCATGTGGACTGTCTCCTGTTTAGCTGAAGATGTCAATCCTGTACCCATAAAAGTTGTGTGTGTTTGAATATTAAGGGTATAACAAACCTCGGGAGCAAGGATACCCTATAAATGTCAGAATGTGAAGCGATTTCAGGGTGGTCTGAAATGCCTGTGTGTGGCTCCCCGATGACGAGTTTCCCTCCTGTTTGTGAATATTTCTTAGAAAAATAGGGGATTTGCCTCCAACTCCTGGTATTCTCTTCAATATTTTTAAATGAAAGACTTTGTGTACTTTCCTCAGAATCTTGGTAAAATTGTCGTTGCTTTTCTTCACTTTTGATAGTTCAAAAAACAATTTGGTCTACCAACATTGAAGTAGATTTTGTCTTCAGACAGCTTCTAAGCATGAAGAATGCCCTGGGAGAAGCTGGTGTTTACTGCCTTGCTCCCAATTAACCTTGAGGTTTTGTGACACCCCTCATGCCTGCCAAACAGATTATGGCTTAGTGGTGGGATGAAACCCTGTCAATGCCAATGTGTTCCATAACAAAGTTGTGTTGGCTCGGTGGGAGAACCCCCTCTAGCCGATGACATGTTTTAGCAGAGCATGTGTTGCTGAGTGCATGGGCTCACACTTGCATGAATGCACACATGCACACACCTGTGGGCATATAAGCGTGAAGCTTATCTGCACTGTTCTTTGCACTCCCCACAATTATCACAAAATGCTGCCCACTTTGGTGTGATTCAGGCATATGTTGAGGCTTTTGTGAGTGAATGAGAGGACCTTTCTTTTCTTGGCAAAGCATTTAAAAATTCCTACTCAGACATACTGAGACATCCATCTAGAACTAGGCAAGAAGAATATACACTACAGCAGAAGGCATTCAAATGCCTAGAATTCCAGAACTGGAAAGAGGCTTAAAGGTCAGTCCCTGTCTGATGTTGGAGTCCCGTCCCCTCTGCAAGCTCCCCATGTAACCCTTCTCATGCTTTGCATACCTCCGATGTCTGGGAACTTACTGAATTGCAGTTCTAACAGAATCTCCATCCGTCAATCATGGTCTCTAAACTTTTCCTTGGTAGCAGGTTGTTTTTTATTCTGAGGTTAACTCAGCAAAGTAAAGACTGGAGCTTAAAGTTCTCTAAGCACCCTTTGTTGTTGCTGCTCCTCTTTTGTATTCCTCTAGACCTTGATTGTGTGGTCACTTCAGTGTGTTGGTGAAAAAAAATTCCCTTTTACAGGAGTAGGGCAGCCACAAGGTCTTCTTGCATGGGGGCCTTGGCTGTGTGAGGCCAATGCCCTCCCTTCCTAGTTCTCTACTTCTCTGTGGAGAATTACAGAACACTTTCTCTCAGGTCTTAACTCCAACTTCACTTTCATAATATACTCAGCTAATGGCCATTCTAATGGCATCTTCCAATGGGGTTTATAGAGGTGACATTTTTATATATGTGCTCTCATGTATTCTGAATAATACAAATATCTTCTTAATATATAATTGTTACACAAAACTCATAAAGGAAATCTCTACAGCACTCTTGAAACAGAGGTAGAGTGTTTACCTTGTGTAGTAGTTAAAAGGATGGCAGAGAGGAGACAATAGCAAATTGGAGGTTTCCCTCAATTCCTTCTTCCACACTTACCATGTCCCAAGACTGTCTATTGAGACAGCAACTGGAAAAGGTCATTCTTGTAGTGAGCTAAAATGTGTCTTCTTGAATTTCCCAACATATTTTTTGACTTATACAGAGCAACTTTTATCCCTCTTCCACAGCCCTCCAAATAACTGAAGACAATGCCTGTGTTCCCTGTTTCCTTTCTTCCTCAGGCAAACGACCTCAGTTCTTCCCATCCCTCCTCTTAATGATATAATTTGGAGTCCTTTTGTGTATATCTGGTTTCCGTTTCCTACATGTACTCTTATGAGACCATATCTCTCCTTAAAAAGTGTGACATCTGCAACTTGGTTCAACACTTTGTTTTCTATTGCAGCACATCTATTCTGGATACTGGGCTAAGATACACACACACACACACACACACACACACTCTCACACACTCACATTAAATATACTCAATATAACACATTTTCCTAGTCTACCCTCACAAAATTGGTTGGGGACATTCAAACCCAGGCGTCTATATTTCATCCTGTGAAATTTCACTATCCTAGATGCAGTTCATCATTTCAACCTAAGAAGTTCCTTTTGAACCCTAATTTAATAATTCGAGGAACTAACTATATATGTATACCACAAACTGGATAGGCATGCTCTACAGATCTTCATCCAAATCATTGAAGATGATATAGAACAGGCCAAGGATGTTGAAAGGTGAAGGACCAGTCTTGTGGCCCTGGAAACCTACCTTAAGACTGGCATCAGCACACTGATTGTTCAGTGCCCTTTGAATATGGTGATTTAGCTTGTTAGCTTCTTAACTAATTCTTCTTGCATCCAGTTCGTATCACTTCATCTTTCCACCAAGGATATTACCTAAGCCAAAATGAATGAACTGCTCAAATATTAAGTATCTACCAGATTGTGAAGTTCTTGAGGATAAGGAATATGTGTTCGTTATCTTTGTGTCCATAGAAACCAGCACATGGTCTGACACCCAGTAGATGCTTAATAAATTATTATTCAGTAAATATGATGAGAAAGGACACGGGCTAGAGTATATGAAGAATTTCAATGTATATAAGACACAATGTCTGTTCTGAAGAATATTAGAAAGATAAATCTTATATATGAATATTGAATTATCTAAACTATTATTTAACTATCCAAAAGTAGGACAGGCAATATAATCAATGGAGAGAGAGAGAGAGAGAGAGAGACTGATCACTTGGGGTTTATTGGAATGCCAGGCAGGCTTTTTAGAGGAAGGGAACTTGAGAAAATTAAATCTGACCAAGTTTAATGGGTACAAAAACATAGAAAAAATAAGATCCAGTATTTGACAGCACAGCAGAGGGACTACAATCAACAGTAATTTATGGTATATTTAAAAATAACTAAAAGAGTGGAATTGAAAAATTCCTAATACAAAGAAATTATAAATGCTTGAGGTGATGGATTCCCCCAGTTATACTGATGTGATTATTACACATTGTATTCCTGAAACGAAATGTCACATATATCCCCTACATATATATACCTGCTATGTACCCATAAAAATTAAAAATAAAACACTAAAAAAATCTTGACCAACTTGAAATTCCCTTCCAGCTCTAAACATTCCATAATTCTAGACCACAACACATGTCTAGGAATAAAATAAAGAAAGAACTCCATCTAGATGGAAAGATAATGGGAAAAAAATATAGAGGCAAGTACAAGTTGTCAGGGCAACTGATGTTAAGTGATTAAACAGTACTTGATAATTTGCACGTACTTGAAAGACCAGAGAATAGATTTCTTTCTTGGTACCAAGAGCAGGGAAAGATTCCCTCAGAATTCACTTTTTGAACATATTTTAGGCTCTGACTTTTTTCTTCTCATGGTCACAACAGGAGTGGGGTACATAAATTCTTTTAACATCTATTATGGGTGTTAGAATTTCTAACATGGATGTAGATCATTTTCACCTCCCTCATTTTAAAGGTGGGATAACTAAGAGTTAGAGAAGTTCAGTAGATGTTCCAGGTCACCCAGTACCTGCAGAGCCTGAAGTAGACAGACTCATGGCTTTGAAGCTCTTATTTTTTAATCAACTGGAAGATGAGCTGCTTCAAAGCATTTCTCAGACAGTTGTGGTATTAGTGTCTGGGTTTGCAGTGGTGCATTACAAAATAAGTACTTTTCCTGTTTATTATTATTATCAGCTCATTTAGGTAGAGGCAATGTCTTTTTTTTTCTTTTAAATTTTCTGTAGTCCTGAAACAATTTAGAGACTCAGAAAATGTGTGAAGAATGGGATGGGAGCTAAGAAGTGAGTCTACGGTAGAACACAAACAAACACACAAACACATTATCTAGTCTTTGGCCCTTGAAACCTGGGAAGAGATTCAAATAAAAAATGAAAGAAGCATAGGTTACTTTTCTACTTCATTCAATTAAGCAATGTTTTCCAGAGACAGTCAGTCAGATGACCTTCCTTTTCCAATACAACTTGGGCATCCCGGAAGCTGGTAACCAGAATGTACTGAAATGGTTGCCAAGATAACCTGGAACCAGAGCATCAGCTCTGAAGCTGGCTCTGCTAGAAGGACTGGGCTAACTCACAGTTTTAGAAAATGATTTCCACTAGGTTAGGATGTGTCTGAGTCCCATTGTTCCCTCTGTCAGATCAGGGATACCCTTTGCTCCTCTGTTGTCTTTAAGCCACCTTCCTTTGTTTCAGCTCACATAAATTCTGAGGCTCACACAAGAGCAGCTACACTGAGAAAAGTGGTAGAATTCATCCCTCCAAACCCCAAATATCTTAGTCATAAAAGACACTCATATTTATATACTAGAAATTTCTTACTGGCTAATGTTTTGACACTAGACTCTTGTTTTAGGGTGACAGTAAAATAGATGATTGACATTAAACTTTTTTTTTTTAATAAAGGGAATCTAAAATCTGTTTCGTCCACTTTTCCTGCTGTAGACATACACGGCTTCATTCCTGGTTCTTTATTACCACCCACAGGCTAAAACTCAGACTGTAAAGCTTGGCTCTATAATTAAAGGAGAACCTCACTTCAATCACAGATTCAGCAGAGGCTCAATTGGGCAGGCCCACCAGCTGCGGATTTGCTAACCCAGAGAGCGACTTCGATTGTGGTGCACAGAATTTCTCCCAGTCATTCCCATCTTATTAATGCTTTGGTGTAGCATAAAGCTTCATTCATTATTCATAATAATCCAGTCAGAGGGCACTTGGAGACCTGATAAATTCTCACCTAAGTGACAACGGCTGACAGGGCCTAGGGTTTTATAGCCCTTCTCCTGCCATAGCAAGGAGCTGTGAGCAAAGGTCCAGAATGATCCTCCACTAATGACCAGTGTGATATACGAGCAGCTGCTGATTTCCTGACACCAAGGCTCCTCAGCTGAGGCTCCCACCTGCAAGCTGTGAGCTGGAGATGAATATCTGTCAGACTATAAAATGCAGGAGCAGACCACAACGTGGTATATTCTTGGGCACGAAGAGGTTAACTCCGAGAGCAGGAACATAAGCATTAAGCCTGAGAAGAAAAGAAGAAAAACCACCAGCTCAAATCCCACAACAGAATAGGTGTAAATTTGGGATTGTGTCAATGGGCTCAACTGATGGAGGGCTTCAATTCTGCAAACTCTACTTTGTGACACCCAGGGGGCTGAATAATCATGATTTTTTTTAAAGGATCTGGTAAATTGGTTTCTAAAAATCAATAATCACAATAATCAGATTTTGAAGGACATTAATTGTAATCTTCACAAAGGTTAAAAACTTTGGAATATGTTGTTAGTTTTTGGAGCCATCTTTGCTATCATAGGATGTGAGGGAAAAGCTATTTTTTTGTTGTTGTTCAAACCAGTCCTACTTTTTGAAAAGTGCAGGCAACTTCCTCTCAATGCTGCAAACTCCAATGAGGTGTAGATGCAGTTATTAGCATTTTCCCTTGGCTTTTTAAGTGTGCTGAACACTGTGAAGATGTTCTTAATTTATAGCTTTTTCTTTTAATTTTCACATGTGTGCTTGTTTGGCTCTATCTCTCAATTTTAAAACTTCTGTAGATTTTTCTTGACTTAGAAAAGTGATGGAAGAAAGTAAATAATGGAAAGTAGTTGTCCCAGTAGGCATCTATTCAATTCTGGCTGACATCCATGCATACATACATACGTATGCATGTATGTCAGCCAGACATCCATGCATACATACATATGTATGCATGTATGTCAGCCAGACAGCCATCTATCTATCTATCTATCTATCTATCTATCTATCTATCTATCTATCTATCTATCTGTATGTGTGTGTATGTGTGTGTGTGTCTGTATATATTAATCTCATTAATCAGATTTCTGTTAGAAGGGAGTTTCTCCAAATATTCTTGGCTTCTTGATCTACCTTCCCATTCACTTACCCCTGGAGAAGAAATAGTAAATTTACTGGTATAATACTTGGGAGGAGGAAGGTATACATTACTCAGTCCTGCCTTCTTCTCTCCTTCCAGGATCCTGTCCTTCTCAGAAAGCTGCTATCTGGTCTGGTCTCCATGCAGAAAGTTTTGCAGGCCATGCACCCGAGGGAGGCCCAAAACTGGGCAGGTTAATTCTATATTAGGAAGCCCATGATTGCTACAAACTGTGCTATGCATTCTGACTTCATCTCTATGTATTATAAAGCTTGTATTTTTATTTCTTTGGTTATTACTTTTTGTCTACCATTGAGCTGATTAGAATTCAAGAGGGGGCAAATAGTAGTAGTATTTTTTGTTTCTCCTTAAAACCCAACTGCATCTTTTTAAATTATGACAATTTAAGAGAATTGGTGAGGTGCCGGGCAGAATATATGGGACATAATTTTGCCCATGTAGTTGATAATCTAGGGTTGCCACCATAGAAGTGTGTTCCTGACAGCTGGTAGACACATACTCCTAGATTTAAATGATACTGAAATTATGGTAAACAGACCTCCCAAGGAGAGCAACTGAACTTCTAAGTAAAGTCCTCACACCGGGGCTTGTCGAGGGGGTGGGAGGCTAGGAGAGGGATAGCATTAGGAGAAATACTTAATGTAGATGACAGGTTAATGGGTGCAGCAAACCACCATGGCACATGCATACCTATGTAACAAGACTGCATGTTCTGCACATATATACCAGAATTTATAATAAAAATTAAAAAATAGAAACTTTAAAACTGAATCTATCTATAGTCCTCTGTATAGCATTCTAAATGCCATTGTTTTTCTACTTGTCTATAATCTTCATGTGTCAGACATGGTTTATGTTCTATTCTTGAAACTACTTGAGTAGCAAAGGCTTATTTTCTGGTTATTTACATACGTATTTTATTTGGAAATAAGAACCAATGTGAAAAACACTCCAGGGCCACAACAATAACAAAATGAGTGAAAGCTCTTTGAATGCTGGTGCTAAGCAACAGATTTCTTTTTTTCCTATGGTTAGCATACTGCTTGGCACATAGGAAACCTCTTAGAAATGAAAATTGGTTTTGTGTTCAGAGGTCAATATATGAGAGGAGCTATAGTCTACCTCCTCTTTTTCTCTTTGCTTCATGGTATTTTCAGAAAAAAAATGGCCACTATCAATTTATTTCCTTTTGTTAATTTCAATGAATGAATAAGTAGAATCTACTTCCTCTCACCTTGAATCCAGTATAGCTTTGTGGCTTGTTTTGACCACAGAATGTGGCAAAAGTAAAGCTGTGCCATTTCTGGGACTAGCCTTAAAGTAGACTGGCAGTTTTCCCCTCCTTACTTTTAGAAGCCATTCATGTACATACTGCAAAGCCTCTCTCTGAGACCACTGTACTATGAGGGAGTGCATGCAAGTCCCGTGGAGAGGCCACATGAGGAAGCACTGAGGCATCATCCATGGGAAGGAAGAATTCTTGGACTTTCCAACCCAGTCCATTGACCAGTGGAATGCATCTCAGTGACTCCAGCTAACACTAAGTGGAGCAGAAGAACTTACTAAATGAACTTGCTCAACCCACAGAATTATGGGTTGTTATTTTAAAAATAATTATTATTTTAATTTGCTAAATTATGGGGTAGTTTTTAAAAGAAAAGAGACAACTGAAGCGATGCCTAACTTATGCCTGCTCTGTTTTTAAAACCTAACTCCGATTATTTTTCCTATATAAAACATTCCCTTGCTGAGTCCAGGAGGAGGAAAATCTTGCTCTCTTGAAATGCACTTGAAATGTATCACACTTACTGTTAGCATGCCTTGTCTGACATTATGTTCTACAAAGGTTAGTTGCCTTTCTAATGTGTTTAAGTTTTAAACCACTAACTAGGTTATATACTTGTTAAAGGGAAGGCCTATTTGTTTTTCCTCTTTCTGTACTTCTTTTTTTTTTTTTTTTTTTTTTTTTTTTGAGACGGAGTCTCGCTCTGTCGCCCAGGCTGGAGTGCAGTGGCGCCATCTCCACTCACTGCAAGCTCCGCCTCCCAGGTTCACGCCATTCTCCTGCCTCAGCCTCCCAAGTAGCTGGGACCACAGGCACCTGCCACCACGCCCAGCTAATTTTTTGTATTTTTAGTAGAGACGGGGTTTCACCGTGTTAGCCAGGATGGTCTCGATCTGCTGACCTCGTGATCCGCCTGCCTCGGCCTCCCAAAGTGCTAGGATTACAGGCATGAGCCACTGCGCCCGGCCTCTTTCTGTACTTTTTAAAGCCTAATTAGAAGTTTGAATATTGTAGATATTCATTAAATATTACTATTGATCATTGATTACTGGAAGTCTTTAATAATTTTTTTCATTGAAAAAGGATCTCATCGGTTACTGATGAGAAACTGAGAGCAAGCATTTCAACCACCTTATTTAGTCCTCTAGTACCCCAAGCTTCCAAGATGTTAACATATTGAACTAATAATACTTTTAAGTATACTCAAATCTTAGTCTCAATACCCACTTGTCCTTAGCAGTGTTCAAAGATCTGGTCTGAGAGTTTTGTTTCTGCTTGTCATTTATTACACCAAAAAAAAAAAAAAAAAAACCCACAAAATTATGTACTGTAGAGAGAGAAGGGGCTATTTAAAGTATATGGGCATATTCTTGACAAGGATATATTACTGCTTTTTTTAAAAAAAAAAAAACAACAACAAATGAGACACTGCAATGGAGAAATAAATGATTTATTCAAATAGCTTCTCCATAGGTTAATGTTGTATATGGAATTCTGGAGGCTTCTGGTCCTTTGGAGGAAAAAGGAAACCACACAGCACGTTGTTGGTGCACATGTGTTTTTATTTGCTTAAGAATTCCATAGACTCCCTGTTTCCGCAGGACCTGAATAGATGCACTTAACAGGGATAATTCTCTTTCTCATTCTGTCCCCTTCATTTACGAGACTGATTAATTTATTTTAATAAGAAAAACTGCATTCTTTTTCTTTCAGGGACCCTGAGCCCTTGTCGCTGGGAATCCTTATTTTGAGCTATTTCCCTGAGATTTGCTGGCTTGGCAGCAGTCTCTTTGGTCTTTTTCTGGGCAGGAGGAAACAACATTTTGTTTGGAGAAATTCTATTATTTTACAAGGTTTAAGTAGAAGAAAAATGTTCCTATTCTGAAAGTAATAGCTAAAAATGTCCTAGTAATAATTTTTACCAGGGATGTTTTTGAGAGAAGGTGGTGCTTTTCATATGTTGGAGTTAGCCCTGTACCTAACAGTCACTATCATTTGGAGAGAGAAGCTTTTGAGTTGAAGCTAAAATTCTGCAGCAGTGTCATTTTATTCCCTAAAATCTCAAAGCATAATAGCAATATAGGAGGATTCCAACTGGACAAACAAATTCTCAATGGTGTATGAGTTGCTTTCTTGACATGTGTCCCCAAAGGAAGGCTGTTTTGGTACATGCCTACCTTTGATAAATGGCTGAAAAGTGCCCTGAGCACAGTGTGGGCTGCATGGCCCTGCCTCATCACAAAGCATCTTTGGTTTGCTGTGTTTCCTCTCCTTGTCTTGTTTATTACGATCCAACATTCCAAGCTCATCACTGATGGCAGAAGATATTCTTTTGTGGGCATTGAGTAGACACAGACTTTCATTTCAAATACCATAACACAAAAAGATAAAAATAATAGAAATATTTCTTTGTGAAAGTCCCTGGGCCTGCCTGCAGGTGCAGAAGGTGCTGGTTTCATTTTACTTTATCAAATCAACTGCAATATCTGAACATAAATCCCAGCTTCAGTTCCTTTCATGGCAGACCATAAGTACAGTTGTTCACACTTTGTGTTTGGGGATGGGGGTCACTTTTTCAGCAAATTCTCATTTCCCCAGTCCTTGCCTTGGGCTAATAGTTAGTTACAAAGCTCAATCTCAATGTCAAACCTAATAAAAAGAAAGAGAAATCATAAAAGAGAAAGATGGCTGCAGTTACCACCCTGGGTCCCTCTCATTCAGGCTTCACAGATCTATCACCCAGTGAGAGAGGCAGGCTACTGCCTCCCCATCCCTGGCTACCATTGCCTCCCCAGTATCACCTGGGTACTATTAGTCAAAGAACACTTCTGGAAGAGCAATATAGCAATATAGAAAGACCTGGCTGCTGAGTAGCAAAAGAAATTGAACCATGCTTCCACATTCCTCAGTCTATTCACAGCAGCATTTATGTCAATCATGAGTGTTAAAAGATGTGAACTTTTAATTTATAAAGCAGATGGTCTTTTTCTTCTTTGCTGTGTGGACTGGGATACCTGGATTTAAAAGATGTTCAATGCAATAGGATTGGGAGAAGGATTATGAGAGCCTGTTAACATTTTAGGCAGACATTTAACTTTCGAACCCAAACTCTACCATAGTGATGAGGCTGTTACTCAGGGAAAGAATCCCATGGAGATCATCTCTGAAACTTCAAGAAAATTAGCTATAGTGGTCTCTGACAAGAAGACAACGGGGGCATAAAAGATCCTCCCACTCTTCCTCCCTCCCTCCCTTGCTTCCTACCTTCCTTCTCTCCCTCCTTCCTTTCCTCCTTCCATCCTTCCCTCCCTCCCTTCCTTCCTCCCTTTCCTTCTTTCCTTCCCTTCTTCCAACACATATTTTCTGAATATCTTTTATTTACCAGGTACATAGTAGGTATTTGTTCTATAATAGTGAGCAAAGTAGACAGTCCTTGCCCTCATGGGGCTTCCATTTCAGTTGGGGACACACATTTAGGAATACACAAATAAATATAAAACCATTGTCATGGTTAGTGATAAGGAGAACATGGTTCTATACAAGTACTTAATAAACCTGGACTTGCTCTCTGGCTCACATTTGTTCCCTAATCCAATCTATTTTGAAACTTTTTTTAGCTTATTTCTGGAGATCATGCCTTTCTAAGATGTAATTGGGAAGGTAAGGATGATCTGAAAAATGTAATAATCAGAAATAAAGAATAGATACGAATTGAATTGGGAAGGTAACGATGATCTGAAAAATGTAATAATCAGAAATAAAGAATAGATACGAATTGTAGAGATTAAAAATAATCCTAAATTGTGACAAAATAAGGGTTTAGCAAACCTGATTTATTTTGCTAGTCTCAACTCTTCTTTATTTCTGGTTAAGTAGACACAACCCTAAAAGGTTGTTAGTGACTTTAGGAAGTATAATAATCATTCTTTAATATTCAAGTTCAGAGAGGAAGGCTAGAAGAAAAGATTTTCTAATATGACAGCTATGGTGAACACTACCCTCTTTATGTTGCGTCCTTACATGAATACACTTCACCTGGTGATGATTAGGTTGGTCCCCTATAGGCTCAATGTGGACAGGTGGAGACCCCACTGGACCTGCTGACATGTGACTCAGTCCCAGGCTAATCTCCTGGACATTGGTAAGCAACCCCTTTGCAAGAAATTCTTAAGTTATTCAACAAATTAGTATGAGCATCTCCTATGTGCCAAGCAAAGTTCTAGAATTTGGGGACACAGCAGTGAAAAAAAAAAGACAAAAACCCTTGCCTTCATATAACTTATATTCTAGTTAGACCATAAACAAGAGAAGTGAAACATATATAATATTTTAAATGTTATATACCGAGAAATAGCACTCCATAAATATTTTCATGTTTCTGTATGGTCAGGGCTTTCTGAGCAAAAGTTAGTGGCAACCGGGTTAAAGGATGATGGAATTACAACCCTAGCCAGGCGCTATGGCTCATGCCTGTAATCCCAGCACTTTGGGAGGTAGAGGCGGGTGGATCGCTTGAGGTCAGGAGTTCAAGACCAGCCTGGCCAACATGGTGAAACCTTGTCTCTATTAAAAATACAAAAATTAGCTGGGCATGGTGGTGTGTGCCTGTAATCCCTGCTACTTGGGATGCTGAAGCAGAAGAATTGCTTGAACCTTGGAGGCGGAGGTTGCAGTGAGCCAAGATTGTGCCACTGCACTCCAGCCTGGGCAACAGAGCAAGACTCCATCTCAAAAAAAAAAAAAAAAAGAGACTTCTGGAAAGATAGAGCTATTTCTTTTCTCTTTCCTGGAGCCATTATTTACATTGTATGGACAACAAAACCAACCGTGAGCCATTTGCTTATACTCCAGGGTAATAAATACCTAGAGATCATCCCTTCTGCTCTCCAGAGAAGACTTTTTTACACTCCAGAGCAAACATTACTGTTTCTCCAGAGACAAATGTGCCCACCATCTTATATTAGCTCCTATTTTCATGATCTCTGTATACATGAGGAGATGACAGGTTCTCATCATGTCACCCCATGGGGAACAAGAACAGTATCTGTATGTATATTGGGCTGAATGGTGGTCCCTAAAAAATAATATTTTATTCCTATGACCTATGATTATTGTCTTATATGGCAAAAAAGTGAATCCGACCTTATATGAAAAAAAAGATGTGATTAATCACAGGCCAGATAATTAATCACACCACTCCAGAGCAAACCACATTCCTCAAATATGTATGAATGATGCTCTCTGCCATTGGACAATAAACAAGCATCTTGAGAGCAGGTGTTTAATCCTTGACTTTCTGAATGAGCCAGAAATGCAATCACATGTATCCTTAGAAGAGAGAGGCAAGTAGAGTTTAGAGACGGACACACAGAGGAGAAGAGGAGGAGGGACAATGTGGCCACAGAAGCTGAGATTGGAGTGGGGCAGCCATGAGATAAGGAACACTTGGAGCCACCAGAAGCTGAAAGAAGCAATGAACAGAATCTCCCTACAGCCCTCCAGGGAGTGTGGTCCTGCCAATACTTTGATTTTGGACTAATTTCTTTTAAAACTGAGAGAATAAAATTCTGTTGTGTTGTGCTAACAAGTTTATGGCAAATTGCTACAGCAGCCACAAGCAACAAATATAGTGGGTGATTGAAAGTCTGTCTCTAAGCCAGAGTTTCAGTATTCTGTTAGTGTGTGTGTGTTTATAAAATTGTATGTATATTGCACACACACACAGTTATGTGCTACTATAGGTGTTATATATAGGTTCTATGTAACTGTGCATATGGTAACATCTCAAATCCTTCACACTTTTGGAATTAATATTAGTAAGCTATGGAGAAAAATAAAGTAAGAAAGGAGACTAGCTTTTTGAGGGTTACAATTTTAAAGCAGGGTGGTCATGGAAGCCCTTCTTGAAAAGATGGCATAGAGACCTGAAGAGTTTGAGTAGACTTCCTATAAGTGACATCATGCCAGGTTGCTCTGATGCCAGAACATTTTAGTCCCAATCTGAGTACGCTTTGTCCTCAAACTCTCGGTCCTACAAGCAAATCCTTTTTTCTAAATCTTTCAGCAGTGGAGAAAGTACATGCATATCTTTTAGCTGTCAGCACAAGATAAGTTGTCACTAAAGGTCGGTAATAACTATTTGCTTAAGACATCGCATTTTCAGCATCCAGAGTTGCCTGTATAATTGCAGCTACTCCTAAGGGGTAGCAAATTAAATATTATCAGTCATTGAATAAAATAATTGGTAAAACTTCTTTCTACAGGTCAGAAAATTCATTTCTGGATTGTAGTAGAATATAAATTGTAGTTTATAAGTTTTGATATTGGGAGAGAGAAACAAGATGTGCTTGAAGCCAGGAGACAGCTCAGCAGACTCAGCACATGGATGGGGCAGAAAAATGGCACTGAAATGAATGGGGAATGATTCCTTAGTAGAAAGAAAAGTCATCGAAAGAGGATGATGTCAAAAGAGAAAACTGTTGATTACACAGCTTTGATTTGAGCGAGTTCTTAGTTGTCATAATTAACACTACGATTTTAAAAAGTAGCTCTTGGCATAATCTTAAGGGCAGTTTTCCTGGAGGGGGGGTGGTGTCTGTTGAATGGATGACTTACAGACTTGCTTTAGATTTTTAGCCATATTAGTAACAATTGCTAGTGTTGCTAGTAGGATTATTAGTAGGATTGCCATCTTTATATGCTTAGGACCATGGATTGGAGACTTAGGAGAACAACTGTGATTCTGTGGTAGACTTTGGGAGATAATCATATTCAGTATACACAAATGCTAGTGACTTATTGAGAAGGAACTTTACAGAGTTCTAGGACCAGATCATTTGAATAATTACACTTGCATATGGGTTTTCCCTGTCCCTACATCTATAATCTGGTCAGATAATCAAGTGTTCTTCATTTATTTGTAATAAAATGCTATTATCTACTACATTGAGTTCAGTTAAGAAGTGGGAAAGATATAGCTGACGTATAGGCACATGGACAGAAGGGTTCCTTTCTTGTTATCCATCACCTTTACAAGAAAAGGACTCCATTTATTAACTCACTTATTTATCACAAAAGCCTTCTGAGCTGGGTATCTTTCTAACTAAATCATCCCCATTTTATAGATGTGAAAACTGAGACATGGGAAGGTTAAATCATTTGCCCAAGACCATACAACCAGTTAGTAGTGGAGCCAGGATTTGGATGTGAATTGACACTGTTAACCACAGCATTATTCTACCACTCTAGTAGGTACACAATATAAATATGTGTTCAATGCATTAAAGAGTTCTTGTGCTGAGTTTTTTGGTTTCTTTTAGATCTGTCTCTTATTCAACAATCTTATTAAAGTTGATTATATAGGAATGGACATTATGCATTATGATAAAAATGAACTATTAGGCATTTCAAAATTAAAGTTTAGTGTAGTCCTGCTGTATTTATGTACAATGAAGATGGCATTACGTAATGTATGGGGTTCTTGTGAGAATACACAACATTACAATGTTTAACCAAGTGTCTGACATAATGGATGTTCAGTAAGTGTTTCTTTTACCTCTCTTTTCATAAAGAAGATCCAGGAGACTATAAAATACACTTAAAAGAGCAATATATGAAGAAGAAATCAGTACATTTTATTAATACTTTCTCATAAATGATATTCATTTTATCTTCACCTCTGCTAAATACTAAAGAATATGGGTTTGCACTTAATCAACAACCTAAGATATGTGTACTCCATGCCCTTATCAGAGAGTTTAACTTTGAATTCTCTGACACACAGCTCTTAGTAAAAAGCTCAAAAGGCAATTGTATAGAATAACATTTAAGGGAATTACCTGTAAAAAATTCATTAAATATTCCAAATAAAGTTATCCCATATATTTAGCCAGATTAGAAACCTTCATTCTTCAGCTATCTCGGATGTATCCTTATAAAATTAAAATATGCTTAGATGTTTTACTTCAGCCTATATTTTGGGATATTACAAATAACACAATGAAGATAATTATTGTTTTTTACAAGCTAACTTTGTTGGTATATAATTTACATATAATAAAATGTACTCATTCTAACTATACAGTTTGAGGAGTTTTGACAAATATATAAACTTTTGTAACTACCAATGTAGTCAAAATATAAAACATTTACATTGCCCCCAAATGTCCCTTTGCAGTCATTTTCTTCTGTCCTGAGTCCTGGTCTTCTTTCCGATAATATGGGTGAGTTTTACCTTTTTTGTAATATCATATAAATGGAATCATACACTATGCATTTTTTTGGTGTCTGGCTAGTTTTTTTATGTAGCACATATTTTTTAGATTCATTAATATTATTACATGTACCAATAGTTGATCCTTTTCATTGTTGAGTAGTATTCTATTGTATGGATAGGTCACAATTAGTTTATCGATTCACTAATTGATGGAGGATTGGGTTGTTCATAGCTTTTGACAATTATAAATGACACTGATTAGAACATTTGCATAGGAATCTTTGTGTGGCTATATATTCCCAATTTTGAGGGTAGGTACTTAGAAGGGAAATTGCTGAATTACACGGTAAGTGCATGTTTAACTTTACATGAAACTGCTGAACTCTTTTTCTGAAGTGGATGCATCATTTTACATTCTCATCAGCAGTTTGTGAGAGTTCCAGTTGCTCCACATGTTTAGGGATACTTGGGAGTGTCAGTCTTTTAAATTTTAGCCATTCTAGTAGGTCCATAATTGTACTTTTTGTAAGGTTATTGAAGCCATTGTCTACTATATCACATAGTGCCTCCTTTATGAAGAGCCATAAAAGAAAATTTTCTGTTTCCTTTCTAAAAATAGATATGTTCTTGAGCAAATGGTTCAATTTTTTAAAATGGACATTGAATCATGTAATCATTTGTTGCTGTTGACAACTTGAGCCAAATTGCAACCCATCATTTGGAAATGTAGTGAATCTTACACAGCTATTTTGTGTATGCAACATAGCTTAATATTATCCTTTCCTTAACCTCAAACTTCTATTGATGTTATCTTGTTGTGTCTTACACATTTTTTTCACCAAATGTTCTCAATTTAAAAATCCTTTTGTATACTATGAATTCTTACAATTTACCTCAAGCTAATTTTTATGAAATCTTATATGATTTACAAAATCTGAAAGTATATCATAATTTTCAAAGTACAGCAATTCAATTTAGCAAACACTTACTAGATTCATTCTAAGTGCCAGCTCCACAAACTAATAACAAGGACTTTGAAAGAGTTAAGGAACTTTGTCAGATAATATGTAACAAAATATTGGGTTGAATGTAGGTAGAGCTTGAGATGTATTTTGAAGGAACAAATAGTTTCATAAGTGAGGAGAATTTCAGATGGCAAAGAAGAGTCAATAATCTTCTTATTGCAAGCCCCTTTTAGAGAATTCAGACATTCTTTTCTCCAAATCATTTTCTAGGATTTCATTTTGGTTTGGGTTTTCATTTCCACTTGAGAAAAGCATATTTCCCTTCCACACTGTGCAGATATATAATACGGGGAACTGAGAAATAAACATGAAACATGTAAGAACTTAAAATAAAAACTTAAGCCCAAATTAGGTTACAACTCTTAATGGTAATGGCACTTGCTTACAGTAGATTCAGTTTAATTTAGCTGATATCTATTAAATGTCTGCTACATATCAGGCACCCTAGTGGACACTGAGGGACCAAAGATGAATGGTCAATGGTGCTTAGCCTGTAACTTTAAAGAGTTTACTTTGTAGAAGGCAGAAAGAGATAGGTAGATTAGCAAATGAAATGTAATGTTACCAAAACTGTGATACAAGTCTGTTTAGGGAAGGGTAGACTTATAAAGAGGGGTGGGTAAGTTCTACCATATTATCACAGTATATTAAAATGTTTTCGTAATTAATACATCAATATGATTAATTTAAATACATACTATGTATTTGGCACTGAATCTTGTCGTGTGGAAAGTATGGTAAAAGTATAGACATAATTTTTGCACTGAAGGTGTTTAGAATCTTGTTAGAAAGATGAATACTATAGACACATGATAAAACAGCAAACTGCATCCTTAAAACTACTTATCACCATATGCAATGAATAGACTGCTTGAGTTCTGACTCAATAAAACAACTATAAACATAGATTTATAAGAAACAGAAGAGTCTATATAGAATGCTATATTTTATGTTAGAAAAGGGGGCAAATAGGAACACTTATCTGTATTTGTTTATTTCAAAAGGAACAACTACATGTTAAACCAGACATCAATAAAACTGGTTATCTACAAATGTAGAGAGAGAAAGTGGGAAGCTAGAGCTCTCTGTACTTTGTTTTATAGCTTTGAATGTGGAGCCATTTAATATTTTACAGAGTTAAAATCAAATCAAATCAAATCAAAACCAAATAATATTTCTCAAATAAAAAATGAATGGAAACAAACGAACCTAACTGTGAGAGGTGAAGCCAGCTGGACTTCCTGGGTCCAGTGGGAGCTTGGAGAACTTTTCTGTCTAGCTAAAGGATTGTAAACGCACCAATCAGCACTCTGTAAAAATGCACCAATCAACGCTCTGTGTCTAGCTAAAGAATTGTAAACGCACCAATCAGCACTCTGTGTCTAGCTAAAGGACTGTAAATGCACCAATCAGCACTCCGTAAAATGGACCAATCAGCGCTCTGTAAAATGGACCAATCAGCAGGACGTGGGCAGGGCCAAATAAGGGAATAAAAGCTGGCCACCCCAGCTAGCAGTGGCAACTGGCTGGGGTCCCCCTGCAGGCTGTGGAAGCTTTGTTCTTTCGCTCTTCACAATAAATCTTGCTGCTGCTTACTCTTTGTGTTTGCCCTACCTTTATGAGCTGTAACACTCACCACGAGGGTCTGCGTCTGCAGCTTCATTCCTGAAGTCAGTGAGACCATGAACCCACTGGGAGGAACAAACAACTCTGGACATGCCACCTTTATGAGCTGTAACACTCACTGCCAGAGTCTGCATCTGCAGCTTCACTCCTGAAGTCAGCGAGACCACGAACCCACTGGAAGGAAGAAACTCCAGACACACATGCAATCTGAAGGAACAAACTCTGGAAACATCATCTTTAAGAGCTGTAACACTCACCGCGAGGGTCCGCGGCTTCATTCTTGAAGTCAGCAAGACCAAGAACCCACAAGAAGGAATAAATTCCAGACACAACTGTATCTCAAGTTGACATAATAGCTACACAGGGAAAAATTATCTCAATTTATTTTAAAATATAGTATTTTGACTGTATAAACCTAAACCCAAGAAAACAAGAAAAATCTAGATTGTAATCAGAGGTCCTGTAATCATTAATGTTGATATTATTATTTTAGAACAATGCCATTATCAAAAATGACATTATAGAAAAAAGACTTTGTCTGTTACATATAAAAAAATAGATAAAATGTGACTAAATGTTAACAGTTGTAAAATCCTGATAATGGTTGATAATGGGTATATGGAAGTTCAATATATTGTGCTTTCTATTTTTCTGTATGTTTTAAATTTGCCATAATAAAAGTCTAAAAATAAGCAAAAATGGTGTTAAATATCTATATATCTATATGTAACAACTATAGACTAACATAACAATGGCATTATTGGGGGCCTTTAAACTGGTAAAGGTTAATTCAAAATAATACTCAATGCTGGTGAGTATGTTGCAAGATGGCACTCTCATATTGCTAGTAAAAATGTAAATTTAATTTTAAACAAGCAAAAGTTTCTGGAAAGCAGTTGAGAAAAATAAGCCCTAAAAAATGTTCATTCTCTCCCTCTGTGTGAACTTGTATTAGTACATTCTTTCATTCAGTATTCATTTTGCTGGCTCCATATGGTCACATGTAGGATAAGCATAGCAGATTATCAAAACAGAGTTCGTTAATGTAAAATCTGCAAGGTGTCACATACAGCAGGCTCAAATATACTTTTCCTCTGTATATATAGGTTTAACAAAATAATCCATGGTCTAAGTAAGATTACAATGTTTATTTAGTTTCAAAGGCAAATAAGCCTAAACAAGCAATTTCCATTTCAAAAGTTAAAATGTTAATATCAAATACACTTAGAATTTGATACTGGATACTGGAGTTTCATTCATTCTTCTTTCTTCGTTAGAATAAGTATATTTGAAAATTCCACATGTTCTCACTTATAAGAGGGAGCTAAATAACGTGTACACATAGACATGGAGTGTGGAATCATAGACATTGAAGATTCTCAGAGGGTGGAGGGGGGAGGGGGGTTGTTTGATGAGAAATTACTTAATAAGTACAATGTGCATGACGTGGGTGATGGATACACTAAAAGCCCAGACTTTGCCACTATACAGACATGTAACAAAATTGTACTTGTACCCCATATATTTATACAAATTTTTAACATATATTTTAAAATAAATAAATTTTATTTCTTTTCAAACATTTTGTAATTCACAATTAGAAGCAATTTAAACATTTAAAGGATAATTTCCTTGTATTAAGAAATGTCAGGTTGGAGGGCCTGTTTATATAAATCCAATATTCTATATAATTTTTGCCTGATATTCTTATTACTCAGATTCAATTATTCTTTTATTAGAATTTTTTAAAAGGTGAGCCAGACAAGAGAAAGCTATATTGCATTCATTTCCTAAATTGCAATAAGAAATGTTGGCTCTGCTCTGTAGCACTGTTAAGAGAATTCTCACCATCCTCCACCTACAGTGACATAAACAGGTAACTTTATTTGTTTTGCATTGTGATTTGAATATGATATCATTGCTGTACTCAAAGTCTTTTATTATACAGTAGTTATATTTTGGATATCTTTCTTTTTTCTCTATTTCACTTTCTCTTCTTGCTCTTCTTTTTTATCTTACACTTCCCACTGTTGTAGCAAGAAGCAGTTCACAAGGGAGAAAAGTTATTCTGTTCATTAAGCAACCTCAAGAAACAGAGGAAAAACAAGTTTTCTTCATGTTTCAGACAGGAGAATTTCATTCTGCCTTGGGTGAATAAAAAATAAATCCCATAACCTCATATTGTGTTTTAAATGTAAGGCTGTGGATAGTTTCCACACTAAAGGACTAATTTCCCTAATTTTGAAGGGCTATAGAATTGGGTAAAAACAACTATTTCTTACACCCATAATATTCTTTAAAAATATTTCCCTACTTGGGGGTTGTAGGATTCTCATGGGTTGAATGTGTTGTGCTCATATTTAGAGGGTGTTTAAAAAGCATTATGAAAAGACAACACAATATTCTTTCAGCTACTCTAGAGAGAGTTTTTCTGTACAAAGAAAATAGTTTCTTTTTCTTAAGGCCTAGAAACAGCACTAAACCTTGGATTATGCTCCAGCTGAGGCCTGAATAATGAAATGGAAATAAGCAGGTCATCACTGTAGTGACATCCCACTAGAAATGTCACCACAGTTGGTTGAGATACACAACAAAGACTGCAGGTTTGCATGTGGAATTCACCCGCCTCCTGCAGGCACTGTGAACTTCCTGGGACTTTTTGCATTTTTTTCCCTACATTTTTGTTTTCAGCATCCTTTTAGGAAACTAAGCCTGAAGGGAGCAAACTTCAGAGATTGATTGTGTGAAAGTCACTTAGAGCCAGGAGTAAAGCAAGAAAGCAAGTCCATTCTAAAATCCCAGCCACAAGGTGCTGAGTCTCATAAATCCATAGGTCAGGCTGGTGATCTCTTGCCTTTGGGCCTTCAGACGAATTTAGAAACATGAGAGCTATGAGGAATGCTGATCTAGTGTCTCTCCCAACTCCTCACTTTGATAAAGGAAAAATAACATACTAACTCCTATCTCCAGTGTTGGCAAAGAAGCTAAATAGGTAAAATTTGGCTTTGTGACTCTTGACATTTACTCAAAGATTCGCCCAAACCCCAATACCAAATGGAGACTCTTCGCCATCCTTGTGCCCAAGTGTCCCTGACTTCCTATTCCACTCTTTCACCTGCCACCTACATTTTCCCCTTGACAAACGTACACACTGTCTTCTTGGAATTTTTCCAGTGTGAAGGCTAATGTAAAAACAAGTCAATATGAACAAATTCTGCCACACAAACCATGTTTCCCTTCCTTTTCTTCCCACAGGATTATTGCATTTAATAGAAAAATACTTTAACCATTATGTTTCTCATAATGTTTTGGTAGATGAAATGGGGAAATACAGTGATACCAATGATAGTGTAGTCATTTACATTCACAACACAGTACTGGAAAGCTTGTTGAATAAAAGATTTATACCAAATTGGTTCTTTCCTAATTACTGAAAGTCTGTACTCATTTAGTTTGGATTAATATTTTTATTAATGATTCGAATGAAGATAGAATTCTTTTTATAATATATTAAGGAGTGTTATGTGTTGGCATTGTTCTCAGCACTTGGCATCTATTAACTTATTTAATTCACATTCGATCCTAACAGTTAGATATTACATTCTTTTTGTAGGTGCTTTTAACTACTAGAGCATCCTTTAGAAATTATCAAATGTAAAGAAGATGAACACCCAGGAGTAGGCACTAATGGTCTGTAGAAGACAGGGAGACTTGGCAGCAGCATTTCTTTCTTTCTGGACAATTAGAGATAATGCAGCTCAACTGATCATTTGCTCTCCCCTTAGTTCACATGTGCCTCTAGAGACTATATGCTTGACTGAGGTGTCAAATGCTGACTCCACAAAATATTACCAAATAATTTGTGTAATACAAACCGGAGTTTACTCTTACCTCAGGAAAATGGAGCACTCTCTTGACAGAAGAGCATTAGGGGTGCCTCAGAGAGGGCACAGTAAAAATTGAGACTTTTACTGAGATGTTGAAGTCTGGTTTTGATTCTCGAGCTCAACTTCTCATGATATATTAAATGAGAGAATGAACATATGAAAACAAACAAACAAAACCAAAACATGCTTAAGTTTAAATGAAAGATATAAGGTAAAATTTAACCAGTCAAATGAAAAGTTAAGTAAGATATACTACTATAGAATGAAGGTGGTCTGATTCAATACTAATTAATTTGTTGGGATTGGGGAGGGGAGAACTCAACTAAAATCCTTGTGTTTCATTTGACTGTAACTCAGAAAGTCAATAATGTGTGGTGGCTTTATGGAGACTAATTTATCTTGGGTTGGGCTGATGATGTATTATAGAGTATGTAAAGTAATAGCCCAGGACCCAACACCAAGTCTGACCCATGTTAATTCATTCATCCTTATTTGTCTAATAATTAATTAAGTCCGTGAATTTTTTTGAACAAATTGTGGGTCCTAGGAACTTATAGTTCTCTGGAACTGCATGTGAGGAAAGGGAGAAGCTAAGTTAGTTCAGGCCCCTTCAACCTTGAAACAAGTAATCTCAATCTACTGTGGGCTAAAAGGTGTGTGCAGTTAAACCTAACTTGGACATAATTGTCTTGGAGACTATATGTTCTACTTCAGGCCAAAAGGATGTCTTTTTGGCAGAGAAAATAACTTAAAATGGCTACTTGGTACAGGATAGAAAGGTAAGGTGCTGATACTAGGAAGTGTAAATGGAAGAAAAAACAATATATGACACATTTTTGTGTTTGATAGTCATTCACTGATAATCATTTAACAAAAAATATGAGATTTGGGTCCTTTCTTCCAATGAACTCTGAGCCCTTTAAGGACAAGGGCTCTGTCCCATATATTGTAGCATAATCATATATTGTACAGGCATAGCATATTGCAGGTGTTCAATAAATAGTCTTTGATAGACTGAAACTGTGATAGACACTAAGGTTATAGTGGTAAACCCAGCATGATCCTTCTGGGTATAAGCATTTTATTGGGACAGAGGGATTTGTAAACAGCAATGCCATATAATGTGAAAAAGAAGAATGAATGCAAACGGCATGGAAGAGGAAGCCCTTACGTATTAATCTCTAATGGGGAGGGCTTGACATAGCAATAGCATTTACCAGACCCAGAAGCAGAGGAAGATTATGGAAAAGTCATAGCATTGAAACAGCATAATATGCTCAAGGCCAGCAGGTAGTTTAGCTGGAGCATAGGCTGTATGTAGCAGCAGCAGCAGAGAAAACTGGGGTTTTGATGGAAAGCAGCATTGTCAGTGACCATGGTTGTCATGGTAAAGAGTTTGGACTTGATCCCATATACACTGGGGAGACCTTAAATGATTTTCAGCAGAGAAGTTAAAAGATAATTTTTTAAAAAGGGTAAAATCATGACTCTTACACAGATATAAAAATGAACACATGTTAAGGGTTTATTTAACCCATGAGGGACCTAGACAGATGTTAAAACTGATTCATAGAAGAAGTCAGGAAGTACAAATTTATATGGAGTCAAGCAATGTTGATATGAATATGCAATGGAGACAAAACTGGCTTCTCAACAGCTGGGGAAGGGAAATTATTTGACCCTCTACTAGGCAGGCCAGAAATCACATTTTATCTGTTACCTACAACTTAGAGCATTTAAAAGTAACTCAAAGATAGTGAAAGACAAGAATCAGATAATCTCGAGGGGGATGTTTTCCAGTAAATTCATTGTTTTTCACTGAAAGACAAATTCTTTATTCTACAAGTGATTTCTCTGACTTGTGTTTGTAAAGATCATTCAAACTGTAGGGTGAAGAAAAAAATAGAGAGGTGAAAGAGAGAACCTCTGAACAAAGGTAGTAAGGATGGAAAGGAAGAGATAGAATTGAGAGAAATGATAGATGAAAATTATGTGACTTTGAAAGCAATTGAATGTGGATGGTGAGCAAGAGAAAATTGTCCACATTGCACTGCTACATAAATTGTGATGCTAAAATCCAATTTAAGGGAAAAAATGGTATGAAGAGAACAATTAAGTTTAGTTTTGGGGTTTATTGTGTGTTATGTGCCTTTGGGACATCCAAGAGGAGATAGTCAGTTGGCAGTTGGCAGAAAATAGATAGGCACCAGAGACATGAATTTGGAAATCCAGTGAGTTAGTGACTCAAAATCTTAGATATAAATAATGACTTTCAGAAGTAGTAAAAAAATATAATGAAGTCTGAGACAATATTTAATCCTTCCTCTTCTTTTTATTTTTTCTTTAATTTTATAAATTGGCATATAAAATTGTATATATTTACTATGCACAAGACAGTTTTCTAAAATGGTCAGACTAAGCCAACCAAGATATGCATGACTTCACAAAGTTGTCATTTTTGTAGTGAGCACATTTAAAACCTACTGTCAGCATTTTTCAAGAATATAATATATTTTTATTGACTATAGTCACCATGTTGTACAATAGATCTCTTGAACTTATTCCTCCTGGCTAACTGAGCTTTTGTTACCTTTGATCAATCTTTCCCCAACCTCCTCCCCCACCAGTGCCCCAGCCCATGGTAACCACCATTTTACTCCTTACTTTGATGAGATAAACTTTTTCGGCTTTCACACATGAGTGAAATCATGTGGTATTTCTTTCTATGCCTAGGTTATTTCACTTACTATAATGTCTTCTAGGTTATCTGTGTTATTGCAAATGACAATTCCTTCTTTTTTATGACTGAATAGTATTTGATTGTGTATTTATACCACATTTTCTTTATTCATTCATCTGTTAATAGACACTTAGATTGATTCTATATCTTGACTATTGTGAATAGTGCTGCAATTAACATGGGAGTGTATATATCTCTTTTACATACTGATTTCGTTTCCTTTGGCTATACAGTTGGTCCTTGAACAACAAGCACAGTGGTTAGGTGTTCCAACTCCCCATGGAGTCAAAAAATTGTGTCTAAATTTTGACTTCCCCAAAATTCAACTACTGTTGAATGGAAGCCTTTCAGATAACATAAATGGTTAATTAATATATACTTTGTATGCTGTATGTCTTGTATACTTATTTTTATAATGAAGTAAGCTAGAGAAAAGAAAATGATTAAGAGAATTATAAGGAAGATAAAATATATTTATTGTCATTAAGTGGAAGTAGATCATTATGAAGTTCTCCATCGTCATCATCTTCACATTGAGTAGGTGAGGAGGAGGAGAAAGAGGGGTTGGTTTTGCCATCTCAGGAGTGGCAGAGGTGGAAGAAAATCCATGGATAAGTGGACCTATGTGGTTCAAACCCATGTTGCTCCTGGGTCAACCGCATAACCAGTAGCAGTATTACCAGATTATAAGGTATTTCTATGTTTAAACTTTTGAGGAACCTCCATACTATTTTTCATAATGTTATATTAATTTACATTTTAACCAACAGTGTGCAAGCATTCCCTTTCCTACACATCCTTGGCAACACTTATCTTTTGTCTTTTTTATTTTAGCCATTCTAACAGGTATGAGATGATAACTCATTGTGGTTTTAATTTGCATTTCCCTGAGGATTAGCGACGTTGAACCTTTTTTCATATACGTGGTTAACATTTGTATGTGTTCTTTTGAGAAATGTCTATTCAAGTCCTTTGCCCATTTTAAAATCAGGTTATTTGTTTCCTTGTTATTTAGCTGTTTGAGTTCTTTACAAATTTTAGATATTAAACCCTTATTAGATATGTAGTTTGAAACTATTTTCTCCCATTCTGCATGTTGTCTCTTCATTCTGTTGTTTCATTTGCCGTACAGAAGCATTTAGCTTGATGCATACCATTTGTCTATTTTTGCTTTTTTTTCCTGTGCTTTTGGGGTCATAGCTGAAAAATCATTGCCCAGACCAATGTCATAGAGCCGTCCCCTATGTTTTCTTCTAGTAATTTTATACCTTCAAGTCTAACATTTAAGTCTTTAATGTACTTTGAGTTGATTTTTATACACAGTGTGAGATAAAGGTCTAATTTCTTTCTTCTGCATGTAGATACTCAGTTTTCCCAACACTATTTGTTGAAGAGCTTGTCTCTTCTCTATTGTGTGTTTTTGACAACTTTGTTGAAAATCAGGTAGCTGTAAGTACATGGATTGGTTTATGGGCTCTCTACTCTGTTCCATTGGCCTATGTGTCTGTTTTTATGCTAATACCATGCTGTTTTTGTTACTGTAACATTGTGGTGTATATTTTGAAGTCAGGTAGTGCCATACCTCCAGTTTTGTTCTTTTTGCTCAAGATTTCTTTGGCGGCCAGGGGCGGTGGCTCACGCCTGTAATCCCAGCACTTTGGGAGGCCGAGGCAGGTGGATCACGAAGTCAGGAGATGGAGACCATCCTGGCCAACACAGTGAAACCCCGCCTCTACTAAAAATACAAAAAATTAGCTGGGCATGGTGACGGGTGCCTGTAGTCCCAGCTACTGGGGAGGCTGAGGCAGGAGAATGGCGTGAACCCAGGAGGCGGAGCTTGTAGTGAGCCGAGTTCGCGCCGCTGCACTCCAGCCTGGGCGACAGAGCGAGACTCCGTCTCAACAACAACAACAACAACAACAACAAAATTGCTTTGGCTACTTGCGGTCTTTGTGGCTCTATATGAATTTTAGGATTTTTTTTCTATTTCTGCGAATAATGTCTTTGGTATTTTGATAGTGATTGGGTTGAATCTGTAGATTACTCTGAGTGGTATGGAAGTGTTAACAATACTAATTCTTCCAATCCATGAACACAGGATACATTTTAATTTATTTGTAAGAAACATTATTTCTATTGAATGTCAACATTTAAATAATAGCTGTAGGAAGAGTTGGGATGGAATTTAGTGAACTAAGTAGAGAATGTAAAAATGATATGTCATGGAAGCTGTATTAGTTATCTATTGGTGCATAAAATCATCTCAAACTTTAGTAGTTTAAAACAAACCTTACTTAACAGTGTTTCTGAGAGTCAGGAATCCAGGTGCTGCTTTACTGGGTGGTTCTGGTCCAGAGTCTCTCATAAGGTAGCAGTCAAGGTGTTGGCCAGGGCTGAAATCATCTGCAGGAGCAAACGTTAGTTCCTCACTGGCTGTTGCCTGGATGTCTATGTTCCTTATCACAAGGTGCACCTTTCCATGGGCAATTGAAAGATCCTCACAATCTAGCAGTTGGATTCTTCAAGAGTGAGTGATAAAGAAAGAAAGAAAAAGAAAGAAAGAAAGAAAGAAAGAAAGAAAGAAAGAAAGAAAGAAAGAAAGAAAGAAAGAAAGAGAGAGCTCAAGAGAGCACGAGCCCAAAGCTGAACCAGGAGTCTTTTATGATTGATCCTTACTTTGGCCATATGCTATTTATCACATAAACAACCCTGATCCAATGTGGCATGAAAATCATCTTGAAGGCAGCTATTACAGAAGCTAAAGAAAAAGAGTTATAAGAAGGAAGCACTCAATAATTATTTTTTAAAGTATTCCCACCGTGTTTCATAGTTCAAGAATGACATTAATAAATTAGAGTTCAACCAAATGGTGAAGAGTGTGGAAATTTGATTTTACAAGGAACAAATTAGGGGTATATGGATGTTTAATGTGGAAAAGAGAAGAATTAGAAAGGACATGCTAGCTGTATTCAATTATTTATAGGGATTTCATGTAAGACAATTTTGCCTGTATTTGAAGTTCAGTTTTTAAGGTTCTTCAAATTTCAAGGAACAGAGATATACTCAAGTAATGGAAATGACTCATGAGAAAATACAGGGGACTAGGAAGAAGTCTTAATAACTGCAGAGTTTAAACTTCATAGATAGTAGAATTGCATTCTGATTACAATCACCAGTGGAAGTTTGCTCTGGATATACAATCATGTCATAACCTAATCTGGCTACCCCTAGAATCAATTGATGGATTGATTGATCCTATTATTATGATTTAGCAAATCTTAATCTCTTCTTCTACTATTGCTATCCACCCTCTGAATCTTTCCTCTCCTATCATTGTTTAGTTATTGCATCCACTACCTACCTCATAAATTTTGCTTATTCTTAGTTTATAATATGTTATATTCTACCTACTGCTTTCTATCATGTATCTATAGGCTTGTACCCACCATATTATCTGTATGTTTCTAGCACACATTTAAATTTTGGGAAGGAAAAGTTTTTTTAATTGCTTCAGTTAATATTCAGCAAACATAATAACTCCATCCAATTATCTTCGTTGGATGGAGTTCTCCTATCTAATTATCTAGTTTTCTGGCCACCCCATTTTGTGGGTGCTATTTGCCTGAGGCAACAATCTTTGGTTTAGTTGCTTGTGGTGAGTTTAAAAATCACAAGGTACAAGGTGCCATTCTGACCTAAAAGTCTGTTTTTAAAATTTTCTCAGCAGGGCAAATAGACATAGAAAATGTCAGTCTGGTATAATCAAGCAGTTCAAATAGAATCAGTGGATAAAATGTTATACCAAAGCCGATGTTTACATAATGAATTTTCTAATCATTTAAACTGCTACAAAGTAAAATCAACTTAAAGATGAGACAATTAATTCCCTAATTTTGTAAGTATTCAGTATAAAAAAAAGACGAACAGAGATTATAGAGAAGCTTATTGAACTGGAGGGCAGGTAGAATTGTATAATTCACAATTGATCAATGTTAATGATTTAGAGTTTTTACAACCCTTTTCTTCTAAGTTACTGAAAGTTTCAATCCACTCAAAGGAATAAATCAACTGAAATTCCCTTTAGGCAAAATATTGAATGTTGATTAGTACAAAGGCTCTGGAATCGGGCAAACTGTGGTAGAAGTTTTGATTCCTTCACTTGATAGTGGCTTTGGGTAAATTAATTCACTTCTCTAAGATTCAGTTTTTTTTCATCTACAATATGGGAATAAATACTGTCCCCACTTCACAGGGTTGTTGTAAGAATTTAATGAAATGTTTTGGAAAGCACCTACCACACTGTCTGTTTTATAGGAAGGACTAAAAAAAGATGTCAAGATCCAGACAGAAAATCAGAAACTACTCAAGTATGTCAAGCAGAGGGAATTTTATTTAGGGAATTGGTTAATGAAGGTGGCTAGAAGGGCTGAAAAAACAAAAAGGGGAAGGAGGGGTCTAAAGTTTTTAATAAGAAGAAATAAAGAGACCAGAAGTTGGCAACTCCCCAGAGCTGGAGCCCAGGTGTTTATACCTATTGCTTTGCTGCTGGAGGGGCTGTTACTGTCAGTTCTGCTTCCTCAGTAGACAAGCAGCCTCCATGAGGTCTGAAAACCCTAACAAGGTTTTACCTTTTCATCCTACCCTCAGTGCCACTAGAGCACCTCCAGCAACTGTCAGCAAGTGCAACAACTATCTGAATCAGAAGCAGGGTTCTTATCTCCAGTCCAGCCTCCTCATCTCCCGCCAGTGCTGTCCTATTGGCAGAACCTAACAGAGAGTCAGCTGGCAAAAGAATGTGGGAAATGTAATTTGGCAAATCCTTGCCCATACAAAGCTGAGCAAAGCACACAAGTATAAGAATGCAGCTGAGAGAAAAACAGGGAAATAACTTGGCACAGCATTTGTTGTCATTATTACGGCTATTAATACTGAAATTACTCTAGACAATGTCACCCATTACATCGCAAATCCAAAAGTTATTTCTCAGTCCCCATCTTATGCATCCAATCAGCAACACATTGCAAAGCTGAGCACATAAAAGTTCCTTTGCACCCACACTGGCTGTTCTTGGTTTACTTTCCTTATTCCTCCTCATCTTCCTGGCTTCTTAATGACAGAGAACCTCAGAGGTCAGTTCTTGGATCTCATCTCTTCTCCATCCACATTCTCTCCCTAGATGACCATCTTTGGTCCTGAGTACCTTAAATGACACATGTATACTGATGACTCCCAAATATACAGATTAGCCCAAACCTCTGTCTTCAATCCCAGACTCATATATTTAAATGACTTCCCTTCACTTGCACTTCTGAGTTACTTCAAAATTATTCAGTCAAAACTGAATTATTGATTCCCCACCAAGTTTGCTTCTCTCCCAGTCTTTCCTGTTTCAGTAAAAGCCTGCTCCATTTTCCACATCCAATGCATTGGCAAATACTCTGTTTTAATACACAACTCAAATCCAATCACTTCTTACTACCTCCCCTGCCACCACCCCAATGCAAGCCACCATTGTTACTCACTGAATGATTGCAACAGCATTGCAATAACCTCTTAGCTGATCTCATGGCTTCTACTCTTGCTGCCATGTGGTCTGTTCTCTTCACAGCAGCAAGCATTACTCCTTCTAAAATAGAAGTCAGATACTGTCATTATTCATCTCTAAGATCCTCAATGGCTCCCATCTTATTCAGAGTAAAAATCCCATGTTCTTTCTATGGTTTATAGAACCCTGTTGGATCTGGTCCTCTACTCTATCTCCAACTGGCCACTCTCCTTCTGCTCCACTGACCTCCTAGTCCTTATACATACAAAGCTCTCCCACCTCAGGGTCTTCGTTCTTGTTCTGCCTAGGATTCCTCTGCCCCCAATAGTCACATGGTTTATTCCTCTCTTCCTCCAGTTTTCTCTTCAACGATCACCTCATTGTAGAGGTCTTCCCTGAACATCCCATCTAAATTAGCACCTGTTCCCCTCTCACCTGTGGTTCTCTGCTTCATTTCTCTGCTTTATTCTTCTTTCTAGGAGTTATCTCCAGCTGACATTACACACACACACACACACACACACACACACACACACACACGTTTATTTGATGTTATTTCTTACTGAAATGTAACCCCATGAGATCAGATTTAGTTTTATTTATATCTGTGTTGTAGAACATTAGTTATTCAACAGCCATTTGTTATATGAATGAATTGTGACTGAAATTTTAGCAACACACTGTGGACACCTACTTGTCTGGAGATAGTTCCTATAGGTATGTCAAGTTCCGCATCCTGCTCTAGTGCCGTAGGTTGTCTGAACATCATCATGGGAAGCATGATAATTACACAATGTGATCTTTTTATGGACAAAATATAATTTACCCTCAGAAATGTTGGCTATTTAAACAAGCATATCATTAGAATTAAAAGTTGGGAATGTAGAGTAGTATCTTGTTTTCAATCATGAAACTTAAAAAATTTAAATGTGTGTAGAAGAATAAAATACCTTTTATTCTATGTCTACGAAATGAAAAAAAGATTTATTTATCATAGTACTAATAGAACTTCAGTTTGAATAAAGTGCCTTCTTGAAAATTAAAAAAAATGACAGCCAGCAAATAATGAATATTCATGAAACAATAGCTGGATATTATTAATAATATTCAGATTAAGTTCCACTTTCCTTAGAAGACCACTGTACTACTGTAGCCCAGTGTGAGGCATTAACTTCTCTAAATCTGTATTTCTAAAGCTGTATTTTCATAAGTGACATTACATTAAATTTATTATTTTTTTAAAATCAGAAGTCTCACTTCCTGTATATACCAAATGGGATTTTTTGAGGTGTTCATTATTATTTTTTTAAGTCAAAGACCATGACTTATACTATTCTGGCTATTAAATTTCAGTAACTTCAGTACCTCACACGTAATTGATGCTTAGTAAAGAATAATAATGATAATTAGTAACTACCATATTGAGACTGTCATTTATTAACACTTCATGAAATTCTATGAAGTAGATACTATTATTATTTCCATTATATAGTTAAGGAAACTGGGTGAGAGAAGTTTGGCAAAAGGGTTGTAAAAGACGAAGCTGGACATTGCACCTTCATCTATGTTGTTGATAGATTTCCAGGATGTTTGAGGTACATTGAATGATGCCGATTTGTCAGGAAACAATGTTCCTGTGTCTCCTCTTCTAATGGACAACCATACACTATTTAGTTACTTCGAGGCCAAACTCTGTTCATTTATGACACTAAGAATAACTTGGATGTTCCCCAGCTGATGTTCTGACTTTGTTTAGGTAGTACTGTCATTGTTGCTTTTTTTCTAAAACATGCACACAAACACACACACACACACACACGTTTTGGAATAGTTCTTGGTTATTTTGGAGAGTTTTTTTTTTTGTTTTTTTTTTTTTTTCAGAGCATGGCCTCCATTAGATGAACACATTATAGTAACTTATTCTGGAGTAAAATTTTTATGCTTGGCCAGGCGCGGTGGCTCACGCCTGTAATCCCAGCACGTTGGGAGGCCGAGACGGGTGGATCACGAGGTCAGGAGATCGAGACCATCCTAGCTAACATGGTGAAATCTTGTCTCTACTAAAAATACAAAAAATTAGCTGGGCGTGGTGGCGGGTGCCTGTGGTCCCAGCTACTTGGGAGGCTGAGGCAGGAGAAAGGCGTGAACCCGTGAGGCAGAGGCAGCGGTGAGCCGAGATGGCGCCACTGCACTCCAGCCTGGGCGACAGAGCGAGACTCCGTCTCAAAAAAAAAAAATTATGCTTATTATTTATATCAATCACTAAAAGACATTGTGATGTTTAATATCTTGCTGGATCGATTCCCAAAGAAAAAGAAAAACCTGTTCTAAAAATCAAGAGCTAACTGCAGTTATTTTACAAGTAATTGCTACTTTAGAATTCTCTTTAAGTATCTGGTCTTCTTTTGAAATGGATTGAAGTGGCTTATTGATTAAATAACAACTTGGGATACAAATTTTTACCAAAAAAAAAAAAAAATAGGAGAGAGTTCATCAAGAAAGTACTATGCTCAGAGGTTTTTAAGAACCATATGTGGACTTTGCTCTAAGGTTTTTTAGCAACTAAAGCAAAAGGGAAAATCTATTGAACCATTTGATTTTCATTTTTCAACAACAGAAAGAAAGTACACTGAAAAAATAGTAAAAATGATCATTTTCCTCCTGGCTTAAATGTCTCTTCTGTAAAATAAAGACATTAGATAAGGCAATATCTTACTTTCCTTCTTTTTCTATGATTGAATCATCTTCAAGTGTAATATTACAAAAGTGAAATGAAAAGACATTTCTCATTTTAACCATTTGTAAAGGCATCAGAGAAGAGTGAAGGTCTTTCTCTGAAAGAATAACATAAGCCAGTTCCAATGCTTTGAATTCTGATGGTCTCTGTATTAATACAGGGTTAAACAATCACAACTAAATGTTTGTTTTAATAAATTTAACCAAGGCTTTTCTTATAATCAACGATTACTTAAAATATAACTAGTAGCTTGACCATATTTTTTAAACAAAGATTGGTTACATGTACTATATATACAAATGTAGCTTAATTCAATTATTATGGAAGGCAAACTTTCAACTTTCCTGTATATTTAGTTTTTTCTGTATTCTTACTAATGTGGACTCTTGTTTTTTACAGTAATAAAAGAAAATGTGACAGTGTGGGATAAATCATTTCCTTCTTGTGCTCTCTTGATCCCTTTCTCTCAAGAATTTCTGCCTTCAGCAACTTTTCAACAAACACTTATTTAATGTCTACTGTGTATTAGGCCCTGAACCTAAGTGAAGAGATGACACCCAGTTCTATACACCCACGACTCCAACCCTGACCCCTTTTTGGTTTGAGAACAAATCTCACAGCAACTTGCGGGGTATCTTCACTTAGTTTGGATGCTTTTGTCTCAAATTATACACACCCACAATCCAGTTCCTTCTTATTCTTCTTCTGAAGCACGCTCTCAAATTTTTGTTTTCTGTAACAGTCAGTCCATTAATTGATTTAAAACACATTGCTTTAGTTCTTTCTACATGATTGGCACTTGGCAAGATACTGGAGATAGGGTGGAGAACAGGAGTGACAAGTCTCCTGTAACCTATAGACAAGGAGCAATCAAGTATATGTAAAAAAAAAAAATAAAGTATTTACATTGTGGTATATAACCAGGGAAGGTCATTTTGGTGTTATCAGGGAATGACATCTGAAAAATAATGATGTAGTTCCATTCTGTGAGTACTTCAAAGTAGTAACTGTGGGGTCATCTTTAATTCTCCATTAATTTATCATTCACCAATTAATTCATTAATATTCATTTGATATGCATTTATTGAATTCTCGCTATATACTAGGATCTGTGAAAATGCTTGAGAGGTGAAATGGATAAAACACATCCTCTGCTCTTCATGGATGTGACAATCTAGTGAGGAGGCTCATCGATAAGCAAATAAAGTCAATGAAGTGCTATAGTTATTTTGGTAGATTCCTATATGGGATTCAGTTTAGGTGAATAGGAGGGAGGTCCTTACTAGGGCATAAGCTTAAGGACATAAAATATATTTTATTCCTTTAAACATCCCCAGCCACAAGACCTGGAAATAGGCAGTGAAAGGAATATGATGAATGGCTATATAAATGGCACCACATTGTTATTTATCCTGGAGTTGAGACTACATCAGAGAGTCCTATTGGTTTGATTTATTTATATGTAATTCTGTTTTTCCAGATATGGTATATTTCTTTCAATATCAAGCTATAAGTATTTCATTATTCATAATTGCATACCTGGCATTTTTAAAGTTTTTTTCTTCTCTGGAGATTCCTTTCCTTTTCATGTAGGCTTTTTCATAACAAGGGTTTATAGTTATACCTCTGAAGTAATGCCTAAAATTACTTCCCCCACAATATATACTGGTAAAGTCCAACCCAGAATTATGGTTTTCTGATGGGTGTCCCAGTGATTTTCTTCAGATCTTCCAGAAGGACATACCAGCTATAGAAAATGTTTTAGACTTTTTTGTTTGTTTGTTTTTGTTTTGTTTGGAAGCTATAGTAAAGGATCTTTTTTTTTAATGCTTTAAGTTTTAGGGTACATGTGCACAACGTGCAGGTTAGTTACATATGTATACATGTGCCATGTTGGTGTGCTGCACCCATTAACTCGTCATTTAACATTAGGTATATCTCCTAATACTATCCCTCCCCGCCCACCACCCCACAACAGGCTCCAGTGTGTGATGTTCCCCTTCCTGTGTCCATGTGTTCTCATTGTTCAATTCCCACCTATGAGTGAGTTTTAATCCCAAAACATATGAAGCCTTCAGTGGTACAAAAGCTAAATTATTGTGTCACATCTCAAAACAGCAGCAAACAGACAAAGACCACAAAAATAAAACCAAAAGAACAAAAATCCAATGAAATCATAACAAGCCATTAGTTTCATTGCTCTATCGTAGGTTCTGGCATATCTATTATCTACTGACACATTACAACGACCTAGGCAAGTCAACTTCTGTTTCCCAGATGAACAGACTGAACTGCAGAGTTCAGTAATTTCCTCAAATCACAGAACTTAACAAAAATGGCAATGAGAAACCTCGCCCTTGACACAGACTAACAACGATTCTTCTCTGTCTCCTCCATAGCTGACATACTGCAGAAAGTTAAATACCAGAGTCACATCTCCACTTTCAGCTGCATGAACTCTATTACCATTTATTCCTCACTATTAGTAAATTCATATTTTTTTTAATGTTGCTTTTGTTACTAAGTATAACTAGAAATAGTTTCATCTTTCCCTGGCCTTGGTGTACTGGAAGAAAAGCAGGTTGTCTTTCATTTGTAAGAGTTTTCACAGGTGGAAAGATGAACTTGTCCTTCAAATGTCTCTTTGTCCAGGTAAGTTATCCTTTCTCATGGTTTGGGCTCATTTTTATTTTGCTGTCTCTTTAGTTTTGTGGGAATTTAATTATTTCTTGTCAAAACAAAGGATCTCAGCCTTAATCTTGTGTTGGCAATATAATCAAACAGAAATCATGCCTCTTGTGAATTTTCTCATAATATGTTTATATTTGGAGGAAATTAGTTATAAAGTTCACTGGAAAATTATTACTAAAATCATTAATATTTTTGTTTATGACTTGATTCTTCTAATGACCTGAAAAGTCAGTAGATTTGGATTATGTAAAAATATGAACATTGAAGTTAGTGCTTTATTTAATTTATGTTATTTTATAAAATCATCTATGCAAATATTTTCAGAATACACTTTTCTCTCTAATATATTTTATCTTCTAAAACAGCAATCACTATAAAAGTTGATATACCTTCTTTATCTACTTTTAAAAAATATAAGCATCTGGTTTATTATATTTACTATAGACCATATAAATTTGACAATCAGGTAAGAGGAAACAAAAGCCTTTCTAGAGATCTTAATACTTTCATAGAAAGAAGGTTTTTAGTAGAACTTGTGAATAAGTAATTTTTTGATCATCTGCAATTTTATAGGTAGTTGATAACACTGACTGGAAATTTTGATTTTTTTTTTTTCACATAGCAAATTAAGTAAACCTCTATAAAAGATGACAGTTATTCAGCCTGTCACTAAGTTGCCTGTTAAACATGACTCTTGGGGGGAAAACACTCTTTTGCAGAACTGAATCTGAAAAACAATGTAGAATTCACCCTTTGTTTTGTTCTTAAACTTTGAGATAACAAAGTTGGAAGGCAAGTCAGAATCATAACGATATTCCTACAACTGCTATAAGAGATTGTTTCTAAAAGAAGGAAGAAGATACCAAATTGGAAATAATGATAGAGGAAAAGTCATAGTTAGAGAATCCTGAGAATGGAAAGCAGAAACCTAATTGTAAGGCCTACAGCCTCGAGCATGCACAGAAAGTAACTTAGGTCTGAGGTCCTCTGGAATAAATCTTTGGTGATAACAACACAGTCCACAACAGGGATACATTTGTATTTATAGTTTATTCTCCATTATTGCCAGAGGCCTCAAATCCCACATAGTCAAAATCTCCATTCACTGCTGCCTGCTGGGCATTTAACAAGGGCTCTTGTAACAGGACCCAGAACAAGTATGAACATGAATAAAAAGTGCAGGGGCCAGCCAGGCACCACAGGCTGCAAGGTAGCCAAGTGGAGGCATTGGAGAGAAACAGAGAAAGCAGACAATGACCCTTAGTGCCTCAAGGCATGGCTTCAAAAGGTGTCAACACCAATTAAATTGTAAAAGCTCTGTCAGCTTCTGAAAAGTCATCCAGACAGGGACAAGACAGTACATAATCAAAGGACTGGGACGTGATTCTGTATGGCCCACAGTAGACCCAGTGTACGCATGTACGCCTGGCAATTTGTGATCCATATGTGAGCCTTCAAGATAAGTCTGTCCTTAAAGGTGTAAATACCCTTCTTCTGGGAGCTCTCTTGGTTTACCACTGGGGGATGTTGGAAACCTGTACTAGTAGGTAGCTACTGGTAGGTCCCATAGGTAATTTGCCTAAAAATATAACTATAACTAGAATGTGTACTATTGATTATGCCCACAGACTCATGGATAAGCTAAAGAGTAATTGACAAAGTTCTTGGCTTCAGCTAAACAGTGGCAGCTAAGCTTTCTGTAGTAAACAATATTATGGAGAATTTTCTTTGTTGGCAAGATACTGCAGAATCTACCCTTTCTGATAGTAGGACATTCTGACAACAATGACTTTGCAGGAGGTTTGTTTCAAATACTTACACCAGTAAGAAGGTATTTTGCATTTCCTATTTGGCCTTGGAGAGGGTTAATGTGGCTTTAAAGAATTAATTGGTTCCAGGCAAAGGTACTCTGATCTAAATTCAAGAAATTATGTCTTTCTCTCTCTCACTCTCTCTCTCTCGCTTGCCTAGAAGTAACTATGATAGGTATGACCAATTTATTGGATGGTTTTCAAAGTGACAGCAGAGTTGGGGAGGAGAAGAAATATATTTTATAGCTGGGGGCAAATACAGAACTGTCGAAGCATTTATCACATATTTCATAGCTAAGTAATTTTCTTGGTCTACAGAACTTTTTCACTCCCCAGATCAAGTAAAATGCCTGGGTTTTAAGATAGATGCGTTTATGCTAAAAGGAAATGCCGATATGCTAATGACACTGAAGTTCCAAGCATATTTTTTTTAAATCACTTGAAAGTATTATTCTTCCCTATTTGTTTATTTATTTATTTTTGAGACAGAGTCTCCCTGTGTGGACCAGTCTGGAGTGCAGTGGCACGGTCATCACTCACTGCAACCTCAAATTCCTGGACTCAAGTGATCCTCCTGCCTCAGTCTCCCAAGTAGCTACAATTTTTTCTTTTTAATGAGGGAGAACACTACTTATCAGAATGATTTAGAATGCAATTGTTCATTTTTAATCAAACAATTTGCTCTTAGTATGGTTGAAATTACTCTTATTTTTAAAGAAATATTAACCAGATATAAAATAATGTACCATATTGCAAACTATCAGGTTAAAACTACAATGTGTTACATTACCTATTAGATAATTTATTTAAAAGTATAACAGTTCTTTAGAAAATGAGTTCAATAACAACAAGAAGCTAGAAAACTGGGAAACACATTTATTCAGATTTTGGTATTCATCTTGATTTAATTGAGATTGGCTAAATTATGCCACAATAACAAAGAAAGAAATTTCAGTGGCTTAAGACAGAAAAGAAGTCTCACTTATTTCACTCTTCCATGGGTCTAGGAGACTCTACAGAGCAGTGTTCTGCCATTTGATTGCTTAGCATGGCATCTCTACCAATATGTGCCTCTAAAATTGTCAGGGCAGGCAAAAGACATTAGAAAATCAAGTGCCTACAATTAAATGCTTCTATTCAGGACTGACACACATCATTTCTGCTCAAATTTAATTAGCCAAGGCAAGTCGAGAGGTCACATCTTACTTCTGGAAGTGAATAAGATTATCTTGTATACCTGAAAGGAGAAGGAATTGGTATTGATAAACAGTTGTAAAGTCAGCCATAGACTACTCTTCTGATAACCAAATATTCTTTCCTCTTTTGTTTCCCAATCCTACATTCAATCCCTCCATAAGAGCAACCCTCTAAAAGTCTTATGCAAGCTCTTCATACAGCATGAAGTCCAAGATGTCTGTGTAGTACCTGGAAGTCAGGTAAGAATGGGACACCTTTGATATGGAGACAAAAGTTATTTTCTCCCTTCATAATCAGTAGAATATAAAGGAATAAGGACAATTCAGAAACTCACAGTTACTCAAGTGTGGTAATTTAGTCAAGCTGCTGGGGGCGACAATCATTGTGAGGAATGTCTTTACTGGGAGTGGGAAATGTTCCTTGTTTAAGCCTCATTTCTGTTTCCTGGGAGGAGAGAATCCCAGTCTGTTGTTCTTGGTGACTCCTGGTTCTACACTGTAGAAGGATCAATTCATCTTTTATGCTACTTCGTCACATCTGTAATAGGCACTGGGGAAAAGTCTCTCTTGAGGAATAAGCAGTTTTCTTAGTTCATTGCCTGCCTGAGGAGTGTTAAGTACCAAGGTGATTTTATGTCTCACATAGCCACAATCTCTTTGAGTCCAGTCAAGGGCTTTTCTTTAGCAGTGAATTTCTTTCAAAGGTTTTATAGGCTTCTCAGCTATTTGATTCTGCACAGCTCCATGTACCAATTCCATGCCCACAAGTTTTCTCAATGTTTAATTCCTAGAATATTTGCTCTCATGCTCTCTCTTCCTCTCTTTTTGTGTTTGCAGTTGCTTGTCCAGTAAATCTATTGAAGTTCAGTGTCAGAGTCATACACCTAGTCTCTTTTCCTTAACTATTTTTGTCCAGTTGAAAGGCTGGATGGGGCCTCTACTTTAAATTATATCTTTATTCTGAGACATGTTAATCCATTCCCAAGTTTTAACTTGGTGTGGTACCAATACCCTTGGTTAGATCCTTGCCTTGAGGCTTAGACTTCTTCTTTTTGTTTCGCAAAAGTCATTCTCAGTTTTATCGTTTGTTCTTTTGTAGCTGAGTTTTTTCTTTTTCTAATCCCACTAGTCCTCAAATTTTTGTACACCTCTACTTCTTTTTATTCCTGATGGCAAACTCATCTATTATTTTCTGAGACTGTCTCTTTTTCTATTTTATTATACCTTGCCAATTGCAGACAACATCAATGCCCAGACACTCTGATTTTGTTTTTTAGTTTTTCTCTTAGTGCAATAGTTTATTTTGCATAAGATCTGTCTTATAAATTTTCATAGGTAATAATATTACCAAATGCTTTGCCATTGCATATGACTAATTGCCACTTTATAGCCTCCACGGGGGGTGGCCATTCACAATCCCCATGCCCTATAGGGTCAACCGCTAAGTGTATGCCACATGTTTTAGAGATTTTTTTTTTTTTCATAGCAGCATCCAATCCTAGCATAAATAACTGTTTTAGTCAGCATGGATTAGGTTAGGCTGTAAAAGCCAAGAACTCATATTTCAATAGCTTATCGTATGAAGATTTCTGTTTCATACAAAGTCTACTATGAGCCTCGAGAACTCTCCAGGCAGCTGAGCTGTCTTCTATGTGATGGCTCAGTATTGTCCTTCCTTAGCGATGCAATTTTCCAATACTCATGGCAGAGAAAAAGTGGGGTACAGAGTTAAGTGCCAACAATTGAAATTTTTTTCCTGGGAGTGATACCTATCAGTTTTGCCATGCTTAACTTCCAGGAGGAAGGGATGTATATTCTTCTTATTTGTCCAGAAGGAAAGGAGACTTGGTTATCAGTGAACAGAGCTCACATCTACCAAATATCCTGACTGTGACCTATTGAATGGGAACATCAATTTAGGTAATAGTTCCCGAGCCCTACTACTGTAAACACTTTACTTCTATTTTAAAAAATCACCATTACAATTCTAACTGGCAAACTTTGAATACCTGCTAACTTTTGAAAGTATTTAAAAGGTTTTAGTATAACACATATGGATGGTTTATATCTTCTACTTATTCAGATTCCAACTGACTTTCAAAATTGGAGCTATAAAATGTTACTTATCTAACATTTTCCAACTATAGATGTCAGGTGTTATGTAGGGACACTACACTTTCTGTCTTGATTTGGTATATTTTAGGAAAGAGCATCTATAGTGGGTTAATAGTGGTGTCCCCAAAAGATAAGTCTGTGTCCTGGAAACTGAATGCGACTTTATTTGGAAAAGGGGTCTTTGCAGATATAATTACATTAAGGATCTGGAGATGAGGATATCATCCTGGATTAGGGTAGATCCTAAATCCAATGACGTGTCCTTGTAAGAAAAGAGAAAGGGATATGACACACAGAAAGGAAGGCCATGTGAAGTAGGGAGTAGATTGGAGTATGCAGACACAAAGATGAAGTCAGCCACCAGAAGCTGAAATAAGCAAAGAAGGATTTTCCCCTAGAGCCTTCACAGGGAGCATGGCCTACTGACACCTTGATTTCGAACTTCTGGCATCCAGAACGGTGAAAGAATACGTTTATGTGATTTTAAGTCACCAGGTTTGTGGTAATTTGTTACTGCAGACCCAGGAAAGTAATATAGTATTCATCTGAGCTTTAGGTTTTTTTTAAGAATAAAAGATACAATGAATACATACTAGTATTTAATATCATATTTACTGAATTAAAAAAACAGTGAAGACTTAGACATTATCATGAGAAAGTCTTATGATTTTATATAGAGTCCCAGGTTTGAAATCAGATGATCTGAGTTCCAGTTTTAACTTTTTGAAATGGGTAAATGTTTTAACCATTAAAAAGTCAGTTTTCTCATCTATAAAAGGGAAATTATACCAAATCCATGCCAAACTGGGACATTGCTTTATGAATCAAATGAGATTATTGATATAGAGTGCCTTGAGATCAGTAACTCATCAGATTAAGGAAATTTTAGTTATAGCAAAGGTAGATATCACCATAAATAAAAATTAACCCTAGACCATACATTATAATATTAAAACATTTTCATTTAAAATGGACCTCATTTAGTGGGCTTCTTAGATTTGCAGCAAAAGGACAAAACAGCCTAAGCACTGGGAAGACAAAAATCTTGCCTTCTTTTGAGAAAAGCCTACTGACTTCAAACCTTTCATTTCTGTTATTATTTTTTATTATATCTGAAGAGTGTAAAATAACTAGTAACAAAAGAAACTCCTCAGTTTTTTGGTCAGGTACTCAAGAAAAATGCAGTGCAGTGAGATTAAAAAAAGCTCTAAAAGTTGGTTAAAATTTTCCAAAGTTTCATATCATACAAATCCTGTCTAGAAGATTTATTATAACAAAATAATTATATTTCAAGAATAATACTACCTTATTCGTCCTAAGGCCTCCCTTCCGTAACTAATTTCAAATATGCTAAAGAAAATTAACCCCTACGATTTTATTTTACATCACAGATGTTGTTTTCATTTTACAGATGAACCAGGGAGGACACCACAAATCATGGACCCAACTGAGAATAAAACTTTGTCACTCAGCTTTGAGGTAACAGAGTAACAGTGGTAAGTGTGCGCATGTGGAGGGTGGGAGCTGTGAGATCTGAGTCGATTTATTTTTTTAAATTTACTTTGGGTTCAGACTACTGTCTAAAATCCCCACTTGTCCTCCTTCCTCCCCAAACCCTCTGGAACTCTAACCCCTTGGTTGGTAACCCCCTTCTAAACCATCAGTCTCTTCTCTGAATAGTCCCTTCACTAAATTACTGTAAAATTTGGCAGTGTCCCCCCATCATCCTTTTCCCTGGAAAATCTGTTAAAGAGAGACTACATTTCCTTTCATATCTCATTATTTCAAGGTCAGGAGATGGGATAAATATGGACTTTCATTTCCAACTGCTGTTGCATGACTATCTTTTCTTACTTTTCCAAACCCTAGCTTTTTCATAGCTGATGGTATTCTTCTTTACCATTTATTATTACGGCTTTCATCTACAAACAATCATGAAGACTTTGTTTCTCATTCAATATCTTATTTTTTAGTTCTGCTGCTTGCATTTTCAGGAATTTCAACCTCTACATAAGTGATCAAGTTAACTGATTCTTCTATTCTTTTACATCACCTTCAAAATTCTTTTTCTCACTCTCACTTTGGTTTCTAGCTTCCATGACCAAACTATGGGCCTTGTCATTAGTAGTCACTGCTCCCCCTCCAAAACTTTTGATTTCAAGCATCACATTGTTTTTTTTTTTAATTTAATTTTTTTTATTTCAATAGTTTTGGGGAAAAAGTTGTTTTTGGTTACATAGATAAATTCTTCAGTGGTAATTTCTAAGATTTTGGCACCCTCATCACCCGAGCAGAGTACACTGTGTCCAATATGTAGATTTTTATCTGTCACCCCCTCCCACTCTTCCCCTCCGAAGCCCCAGAGTCCTTTGTATCATTCTTATGCTTTTGCTTCCTCATAGCTTAGCTTCTCCTTATAGGTGAGAACATACGATATTTGGTTTTCCATTCCTGACTTACTTCACTTAGAATAATGGTCTCCAACTCCATCCAAGTTGCTGTGAAAGCCATTATTTTGTTCATCTTTATGGCTCAGTAGTATTCCTGGTGTATATATACCACATTTTCTTTCTTTCTTTTTCTTTTTCTTTTTTTTTTTCCGGACAGAGTCTTGCTCTGTCGCCCAGGATGGAGTGCAGTGGCGCAATCTCAGCTCACTGCAAGCTCCGCCTCCCGGGTTCACGCTATTCTTCTGCCTCAGCCTCCCGAGTAGCTGGGGCTACAGGCGCCCACCACCACGCCCAGCTAATTTTTTGTATTTTTTTAGTAGAGACGGGGTTTCACTGTGTTAGCCAGGATGGTCTCGATCTCCTGACCTCGTGATCCACCTGGCCTCACAAGGTGCTGGGATTACAGGTGTGAGCCACCGTGCCCGGCCATATACCACATTTTCTTTATCCACTCATGGTTGATGGGCATTTAGGCAGGCTTCATATTTTTGCAATTGAGAATTGTGCTGCTGAAAACATGCACGTGCAAGTGTTTTTTTTCTCACATAATGACTTCTTTTACTCTGGGTATATACCCAATGGTGGGATTGTTAGATCAAATGGTAGTTCTACTTTGAGTCCTTTAACGAATCTCCATACTATTTTCCATAGTGGTTGTATGAGTTTACATCCCCACCAGCAGTTTTGTAAAATGATTCCTTTTTCACCACATCCAAGCCAACATCTATAATTTTTTGATTTTTAAATTATGACTATTCTTGCAGGAGTAAGGTGGTATTTCATTGTGGTATTTGATTTGCATTTCCCTGATTATTAGTGATGTTGAGTTTTTTTCATGTTTGTTGGCCATTTGTATATCTTCTTTTCAGACTTGTCTATTTATCTCCTTAGTCCACTTTTGATTCCATTATTTGTTTTGTTCTTGCTGACTTTTTTGAGTTCCTTGTGAATTCCGGGTATTAGTTCTTTGTCAAATGCACATCTCATGAATATTTTCTCCCATTCTTTGGGTTTTCTGTTTACTCTGCTGATAATTTCTTTCGTTTTGCAGAAGCTTTTTAATTTAATTAGATCTCCTTTATTTATTTATTTATTTTTGTTGTTGTTACATTTACTTTTGGGTTCTTGGTCATGAACTCTTTGCCTAAGCCAATGTCTAGAAGGATTTTTCCAATATTATCTTCTAGAATTTTTAGGCTTTCCAGTGTTAGATTTAAGTCTTTGGTCCATCTTGAGTTAATTTTTATATGTGCTGAGAGATGAGGATCCAGCTTTATTCTTCCACATGTGGCTTGCCAATTATCTGAGTACCATTTGTTGACTGGGGTGTCCTTTCACCACTTTATGTTTTCATTTGCTTTGTCTAAGATCAGTTGACTGTAAGTATTTGGTTTTATTTCTGGGTTCTCTATTCTGTTCCATTGGTCTACATGCCTCTTTTTACACCATTACCATGCTGTTTTGATAACTATAGCCTTGTAGTATAGTTCGAAGTTGGGTAACGTGATGCCTTCAAATTTGTTCTTCTTGCTTAGTCTTACTTTGGCTATGTGGGCTCTTTTTTGGTTCCATATGAATTTTAGAATGATTTTTGCTAGTTCTGTGAAAAATGATGATGCTACTTTGATGGGAATTGCATTGAATTTGTAGATTGCTTTTGGCAGTATGGCCATTTTTACAATATTGATTCCACCCATAGATGAACATGAGATGTGTTTCCATTTGTTTGTGTCATTGATAATTTGTTTTAGCAATGTTTTGTAGTTTTCCTTGTAGAGATCTTTCACCTCCTTGGTTAGGTATATTCCTTAGTATTTTTTTTTTTTTTTTTTTTTTTTTTTGCAGCTATTGTAAAAGGGACTGAGTTCTGGATTTGTTTCCCTGTTTGGTCATTGTTGGTGTATAGCAGTGTTACTGATTTGTGTACATTGATTCTGTATCCTGAAACTTTACTGAATTCATTTATCAGATCTAGGAGCTTTTTGGATGAGTCTTTAGGATTTTCTAGGTATATGGTCATACCATCAGCAAACAGCAACAATTTAACTTCCTGTTTACCGATTTGCATGCCCTTTATTCTTTCTGTTGTCTGATTTTTCTGGCTGGGATTTCCAGTACAATGTTGAATAGAAGTGGTGAAAGTGGGCATTCTTTTATGTCTTTTTCAGTTCTCAAGGGGAATGCTTTCAACTTTTCCTTGTTCAGTACAATGTTGGCTGTGGGTTTGTCATAGATGTCTTTTATTACCTTGAGGTATGTCCCTTCTATGCCAATTTTGCCGAGAGTTTTAATGATAAAGGAATGCTGGATTTTGTTAAAGCACATTCTGTATCTACTGAGATAATCATATGATTTTTGTTTTTAATTCTGTTTATGTGATCTATCACATTTAACGACTTGTGTATGTTAAACCATTCCCACATCCCTGGTATAAAACCCATTTGATCATGGTCGATTTTCTTTTTGATATGCTGTTGGATTTGGTTAGCTAGTATTTTGCTGAGGATTTTTGCATTGGGTCATCAGGGATATTGGTCTATAGTTTTATTGTTATATCCTTTCCTGGTTTTGGTATTAGGGTGATACTGATTTCATAGGATGATTTAGGGAGGACTTGCTCTTTTTCTTTTGAAATAGTTTCAGTAAGATTGGTAACTACTCTTCTTTGAATATCTGATGGAATTCAGCCTGGTCCTGGTCCTGGGTTGTTTTTTTTTTTATTACTGTTTCGATCTTGCTACTTGTTATTAGTATGTTCAGGGTTTATATTTCTTCCTGATTTAATCTATGAAGGTTGTATATTTCCAGGAATTTATCCATCTTCTCTAAATTCTAGTTTCTGCACATAAAGGAATAGTCTTTTGTATTTCTGTGGTATCAGGTGTAATATTTCCCATTTTATTTCTAATTGAGCTTATTTAGATCTTCTGTCTTCTTGGTTAATCTCACTAATGGTCTATCAATTTTATTTATCTTTTCAAAGAACCTACTTTGTTTCATTTATCTTGAATTTGTTTGTTTGTTTCAATTTCATTAGGTTATACTCTGATCTTTGTTATTTCTTTTCTTCTGCTGGGTTTGGGTTTGGTTTGTTCTTTCTCTACTTCCCTGAGGTGTGACTTTAGATTTTTCTTTTTGCACTCTTTCAGATTTTTTGATGTAGGCATTTAATGCAATTAACTTTCCTCTTAGCACTGCTTTTACTATATCCCAGAGGTTTTGGTAAGTTGTGTTACTCTTATTGTTCAGCTCAAAGAATTTTTAAATTTCCTTCTTGATTTCATTGTTGACCCAAAGATCATTCAAGAGCAGATCGTCAAACTTCCATGTATTTGTATACTTTTGAGCATTCCTTTTGTAGTTAATTTCCAGTTTTATTCTACTGTGGTCTAAGAAGATACTTGATATAATTTCATTTTTCTTAAATGTATTGAGACTTGCTTTGTGACTTATCGTATGGTCTGTCTTGGAGAATGTTCCATGTGCTGATGAAAAGAATGTATATTCTGGCCAGGAAGAGTGACTCACACCCATAATCCCAGCACTTTGGGAGGCCAAGGGGGGAGGATAACTTGAGCTCAGGAGTTCGAGACCAGCCTGGCTAACATGATGAAACCCTGTTTCTACTAAATACAAAAAAGAATTAGCAGAGCATGGTGGCGCACACTTGTAATCCTAGCTACTAGGGAGGCTGAGGTGGGAGGATCACTTGAACCTGGGAGGCGGAGGTTGCAGTGAGCCGAGATCACAACACTGCATTCCAGCCTGGGTAACAAAAAAAAAAAAAAAAAAAGAAGAATGCATATTCTGCAGTCGTTGGATAGAATGTTCTATAAATATCTATTAAGTCAATTTATTCTAGGGTATAGTTTAAGTCCATTGTTTCTTTGCTGACTTTCTGTCTTGATGACCTGTCTAGTGTTGTCCGTGGAGTATTGAAGTCCCCCACTATCACTGTGTTGCTGTCTATCTCATTTCTTATGTCTAGTAGTAATTGTTTTATAAATTCGGCAGCTCCAGTGTTAGGTGCATATATATTTAGTATAGCAATATTTTTCTATTGCACTAATCCTTTTATCATTATATAATATTCCTCTTTGTCTTTTCAAGCATCCCATTTTTTGACCACCACCTTCAATTTTAGCTGACTCACAAGACACTTTACAAAGGTAGGCAAAATCTATGAGATTTTTTTTTCGGATGATGTCCCTGGATATCAAGCCATGGCCAAACTCAAAAATGCTCTTTTTTTTAAAATGTATTTTTTATTTGTACAAATTTATAGGTACATGAAAACATTTTATTATATGTATTTAATGCATACTGATCAAGTCAGGGTATTTAGGGGGTTCATCACCTGAGTACAATATATTTTTGTTAAGTATAGTCACCCTACTCTGCTATCAAACACTGAATATATACCTTCTGTCTTAGTGTACTTTAACCCACTTGGCTTCATCTCCTTCTTCCCCCCTACTCATCCTTCTCAGTCTCTGTTATCTATCTTTCCACTCTCTACTGCCATGTGATCAAATTTTTTAGCTCCCACATAAGTGAGAACATCCTATATTTGTCTTTTTGTGCCTGGCTTAATTCACTTAAGACAATGACCTCTTGATCAATCCATGTTGCTGAAAATGATAAGATTTCATTCTCTTTAATGTATTCTATTGTGCATATATAATACATTTTCTTCATTAATCTGTTGATGAACACTTAAAATGATTCTATATCTTTGCTATTGTGAATAGTGCTGCAATAGACATGTGAGTGCAGGTATCCCTTTAGTATATTGAAGTTTTTTCCTTTGAGTAGATACACAATAGGGGATTGTTGAATCAAATGGTAATTTTAGCTTCTTTTGAGAATTCTCCATACTGTTTTTCATAGTGGCTGTACTAGTTTACATTTTCATCAACTTTGTATAATAGTTCCCTTTCCTCTGCATCCTTGCCAAAATGTGTGTGTGTATTTTTTGCATCCTTGCCAAAATGTGTGTGTGTATTTTTTGCATCTTTGCCAAAATGTGTGTGTGTGCTTTTTTTTTGTGTGTGTGTGTGTGTGTATGGTTTTTTTGTCTTTTCAATAACAGCTTTCTAACTGGAGTAAGATGATATCTCATTGTGGATTTGATTTGCATTTCTCTAATGATTAGTGGTGTTGAGCATTTTTTCATATACATGTTGGCCATTTGTATGTCTTTTTTTTGAGAAATGTTTACTCATATCTTTTGCCCACTTTTTAATGGGATTTTAAGTATTTTTCCTGTTGAATAGTTTGAATTCCTTGTATATTCTTGATAGTCCCTTGTCAGATGGTTTGCAGACATTTTCTTCTATTCAGTAGATTGACTCCTCACTGTGTTGTTTCCTTTGCCATACAGAGCTTTCTAGTTTAATATAATCTCATTTGTCTATTTTTGTTTTTGTTGCCTGTGCTATTGAGGTCTTAGTAATAAATTCTTTGCCTAGACCATAGTCCTGGAGAGTTTACCTAGCTTTTGTTCTAGCATTTTAATACTTTTGGCTCTTATGTTTAAGTCTTCAATCCATTTTGCGTTGATTTTTGTATATGGTAAGGGATAGGGGACCTGTTTCATTCTTCTGCATATGGCTATCCAATTTTCCTAGAACCATTTATTGAAGATGGGGTTTTTTCCCCAATGAACACTCTTGCTGGCTTTGTTGAAGATCAGTTGGCCTAAATGTATTGGCTTATTTTCTGATTCTCTATTCTGCTTCATGTCTATGTGTCTATTTTTATGATCTTTGATATTTATGTGCACTATTCCTATTTCTCACAGTCTCTCCTGGGGTAAGTCCTTTGCCCAAGTAAATTTGAAATTGACACTTTTTAGGAGAACAAAGTCTCTAATTTATTCTTTTAATTACATTTTTTTTCTTACTTCCAAGATTTCCACATTGGATGGAAGAGTAGCCAAAAATGCCTGAGGAAATGTACAAAAACATTTCTTTATGAGCCCATTCTTATGTTCTGCATATATTTTACTCTTCTCAATTTAAAACCACTGATTGTATAATATAAATATAATTACAATTTTATATATATATATATATATAGCCATAGGTTTTTTTTGTCTGTTGAAAGACTTTCTGTTTAAAAGGAAACTGGTGTCATATAACACCACAGTTTCTTGTTTGAAAATTATATTTCTTAGGCTGAAAACTGCCAAGGAACAAAATAATGTGTAACTAGGGAAATGTCATTGTTTCCATAGTGAAAACAAGCACAGATCTTAAAATGTTAAAATCCCAGCACTTTCACATTAACTTTAAAATCTGCAACAAAAAATTTATGTAAGTACCTGTCAAAGAACAGGATAAAAACATTTAAGATTGTTGGTAGAAGAAAAGTCTGGGAGTGAAAATTGATTCATTGTTATTCTACTTCCATTTGTTAATTTTCCGTTCCTTTTTCCCACCAACCCCTTTTAATTTTACCTTATCTGTGTTACATTTTAATATGCATAGTAGGACATTCAGACAAAGATTAAATTAACATAATGTAAATATAGAGAAAATGCCATAATTTTGTTTCTCACAAACAAAATGTAAATATGACATGCCTTCACCTGGACTGCCAAATAGTTGCATCAATGCTTGTCTGCTTTCCTTTGACTGAGTCTATATTTTTAAGAGCTTTCTAGCTCAAAACTGATATAATTAAATAAATATAAGTGTAGAGAAGTTTTGCACATTTTTAAAGAGAAACCCAAATAATACACAAAAGCTTTATGTGGCTTATACGTTATTACTGATTAATGTTCTCATCAATCTGCCAAATTATCCAAATGGTTAGATCCAGAAGCTATAAGCATCTGCCAGAATAAGTTGATACTGTCCATTGACTTAATTATCAGGATTTTTTTTTCTTCAGTTTCTGTCTGGTACTTGTTTTGAAAGGGCTTATTCAGTTGCAAATAATAGTAAAAACGAATTCAGATACTTGTTAGCAGAAATGGTAATTTATCAACTCCTTCAACTGAAGAATACAAAGATAGATTCAGATATGGCTCAGCCCTGGACCTCAAACTACATAATCAATTATTTTTCTTTCTCCTTCCACCCCCTTTAAGCACTGCCCCTCTCTCTTTTGTATCTTCTCTTTGGCTTCGTTCATGGTTCCCTCTGTATGGTAGTTGCAAGAAGTTTAATAATGCTAGGCTTATACTATCTTAAGGTTGGCAATCTGATTGGAAATTTCCAGTGCTTTTCCAAATAGTTAACAGAATTTTAAGATTATTTCTGACTCATAGGAGTGCAGCCACATGCTTATTCATGAGCCAGCCTCTGTGGCCAGGAGATAAAATGTTCTCATTAACTAGGCCTGGGTTGTGGGTCAATTTCTGGAGCCAGAGGACTGGGTTCAAATCCTCCCTGAATCAAACAGTCCAAGAATGGCAGATAGAAGTTACCTGATTCCAAATCCGGATGCAATTATTTAAAAGGAGAGGTTAGGCAGTGTGCAAGTTGCATATTATGGAACTCATCTGTAGGCAACAATAGAATTGTTAGTTTTATATCTGTGCACTCTTATATATGTCCAAAATGCTTGATTCATTGATCTCACTCTCTAAATAGTTGTGGAAACTTCACAATTGCTTAGCATAAGTGCTCCAACCAAATGCTCATCAATTTTGTTTACAAAAGTTCAATTTCCAATCAAGTAGAAAGATAAGAGAAAAAGAGAGAAAAGACTATTCAAATTGGTTAGAGTTTTTATTGGCTAAGGGAAATAGTGGTGTTGGTTGATTTGGTCAAGGATAAAACAGAATGTTTTCTGAGAAACTTTGAACACCTAATCATAGAGTGTTTTTTCCCCCACTTTCAAATCCTTGAGAATTTTGTGTAGACAGTATTTCTCCACAAACACCTAATAAAAAAGGAAATAGGAAGGAGAGGTAGGGAATTTTAAATAGACTTTTGAGCTGCCACCTGGTTTTTATTAAACTCACACTCTGATATTCGTTAGCCTGCCTTGATGTCTTTTCATTCTCGTGAACATAAGATAGTGCTTATTTTAATGACTACTGAAAATACGCTTGGATTTGAAGTCAGTAATAGTTTTGAATCACTTAACTTGGATCTCATGTCTTCTCTGAAAACAATTAAGATTTGCTCTATTTGGCCCTTTGCCATTTATATGAACCTGTGGATTATGGTCACAAAGAGATGCAGAAATAACAAACTAAGGTAAAAAAAAAAAAAACATTGAAAGTGTCATATTCCTCCCTTCATGCAAAATAACAATTGTAGTTATTCTGCATAAACTGTACTTTTGCAATTTGTAATGACTGCATTCACAGGCTTTATATTGAATAATAATTTATGTGGTAAATATCTTAGGTATAGCTAATATTTTAATGAGATAAGTAATATTTCTTATTTCTTTTCAGGTATGCCTAGATATTTTACAAAGAGGTTCAATCTGCTCTGCTTGCAAAGCATATTATCAAAATTATAGTTTGTATCAAAAAAGTTTTTATCAAAAATTAAATTCTAAAATTTAGGATTTTAAAAAGAATCTCCAATTTAATTGTGGCACTGGATATAATTAAAACATATTTGTTGAGATAATATACTCTTATAAGAGTTTGATTGAGTGTTACAATAGGGTTACATTCAAGGTATGATCAAAATGTAGAATAAGAAAGGGAGAGGATCTAGTCAAGGAGGTGCTTGAAGAATAAATTGGGATAAGCTAGCTGGACAAGAAGGTAGGGAAGAAGGGGAAGGGCAGAGGTGTGCCAGAAAGAAGAAATGCCCAAGATAGAGGAATTGAGCCACTGAATAGCTTGAGATTCCTTAAGAACCCTTAGAATGGAAAGGCTCTAGTGCTGGAGAGTAGAGTAGTCAACACTGGAGGAGCAATTGAAGATAGTGCTGAAGTTAAAATGAGGCAGGCAGGGACAAGACACAGAGAAAGCCTTTGCTAAAGTTTGGATATTTGTTCTCCAAAACTTCATGTTATTAATAAAATTTGATTCCAATGTTGGACGTGGGGCCCAATGGGAAATATTTGGGTCATGGTGGTGGATCTCTCGTGAATAGATTAATATCCTCCCTGAAGGAAATGTGGTGAGTGAGTTTTCACTCTTTGTTCCTGACAGAACTGGTTGTTAAAGGGTCTGTTACTTCCCCTCCCTCTCTCTTGCTTCCTCTCTCACTATGTGATCTGCACACACCAGCTCCTCTTCACCCTCTGCCAAGAGTGACAGCAGCCCGAGGTCCTCACCTGATGTAGATGGTGGGGCCATACTTCTTGAACAACCTGCAGAACTGTGAGACAAATAAACCTCTTCTTTATAAGTAACCCAGCCTCACGTATTCCTTTGTAGCAACACAGACTGGTAGGCCATGTTTTAACCCATTTTATTTTCTTAGAGAGATGAATAAGGAGAGAGAGATGTTGACTATAAATCTCTGAATTATGTGATCATATCCTGTCAGACTTCTTCTAAAGGCATTTAATGGTGCTTTTTTCTTTGGACAAAATAAAGTCTAAACCCTGAGATCAAAGTGAATTCTTTCTGTTCCCCATTATGTTCCCTCAGGGACAGCATGCTCCTCAACTTACTGTTTCTCCAACAATACTGGATTTTTATTTTTCTGTGCCCTCTGCCTAGAATATTTTCCTCCCCATTTCTGCCCATAGGTCCATACCCAGTTCTAAAGACAAATGTCACCTTCTCCATAAAGGTTTTGCTAATTTTGACTACATCTTCATCTTGCCTCACAGGGAAAACATGTTCCCTCTCAGTTGTGCTTCTAAACCACTTTCTTTTTTCTATCTTTCTCACGGCATTTTTCATTTTCTTTCTTGAATTATGAATATGTGCATGTGTGTATATATACATATATATATATATATATATACACACACATGCACATCCATAATACACGATATATGTACATAAACATCCATAATGCATAATATATATTTGTGTGGGCCTGTACATATGTGTGTATATATTTAAATCCCGTTACTAAATTTTCAGATTCTAGACAACAGGGATTGTCCACACATTTTCTTAATTCTTCTTTTAGTAGCATTTAGCACAGTGCTTTGTACTTAGCTGTAGTTGACAGAGGCAGGGGACGCTGTGTCATCATGAGAGAGTATAGACAGATATGCCTTACAAGCAGATTTTTCAGGGAGATCACCAACCTGAAAGAGCCAGTTCAGATTTTTCAGAATGATGTGAAATAGATCAATTAGTAAGGCAATTTTGAAGTTACTTTTGAGCAGTGGCCAGAACAAAACAATGGACCTTTGTAAACCATTTTTTGAATTGCAAACCCTTCAGAGTTTGCTCTAAAGAAAGGTCTCACTTGGGTAAGAATTTATTTGGTCAAATGGGGTGGGAAAAAGTATATGATAGAACTAATGGCTTTCAATAACTGTTACCTCAACTTTGAAAAGCTTGATGAATCCAACATGGTTGTTTCTGAATGAATTAGTAAAATTTGATCAAGCCAAGTGTCTATGCATCTCAAATTTTATTACACATTGCCCACATTTTCTTGGGTTGCTGAAGTTCATAATATATTTTATCTCTTAAGCCATAATATATTTTATCTTTTAAGCCTATAAGGTATATTTCAATTTCTCTGCTGGTGCCAGAAGAAAAAGTGCTTTGGCAGTAACGTTCAATGGAAAATCCATTCTCGGATATGCTAGGACGCAGCAGACACAGGGGGCATGTGTGAGTTTAAAAGAGAGATTTAGTGGGCTGTTCAGCAGCACAGAGATTAATAAGTTGAACTCAGTAGTTTCATAGACGCTGACGTTATTCGACTTCTGGTAAAAAGCATTGCATATGTTAAAAGTCTGGTCTGTTTTTAACCATGTATGGTAATTTAGGCACTTTAATTTTCAACAGTGCTGTATAATCATAACCATATTCTCTGAACAGTTGGAAAAGTTTATCAGAAGATAAACATTCAACCTGATCAGATACTTTCATCCACAAAACAAAACAATTTTATGAATTCCATGGATTAAAATATGAAAGAGAGCAAAGCATTTACTATTACTTTAAAAACTATTTACTTTGATTTTTGAAAATAAATATTTTTGGACAACTGTTGGGGACACATTATCAAAGTTCTATATTATCTTTAAGAAATGTCGCTGGTCCTACTGCCTGATTTGATGTCAGTTGCTATGACAGTTTTCTCAACTGCAACAGCTTCCTCCTTTCCTTGGTCTTCATTCCCTTTCCGCTTTCTAATTTTCTGTCCTTTCCTTATTTTATTCTTCTACTCGTCTGATTTAACTCATTTTCCTCTCCTCCTCTTCCTACTCTGACCTGAGTCAGTAACAGTTAAATACTACTTATATGAGTTCTGTTGGAAATTTTGAAAAGCAAAGGATTTTTTTGACATTTCAATTTTATCCCTCTTCTTCCCTTTCTGTGTTTCCTTCAACTATTCCTTTTTTGTTTCCTCCCTTCTTTCTTTATATTTAAGAAAATCTGATAATATTCTTCATAGATTTAATAATTTAAGTCAGAAGAAACTTCTGACTGAATCCCAATAAAAATTATGGAAACAAAGAATTTGCTTTCAAACATTATTTAAAATATATGTAATCTGAATATTTTAATTTCTTTAGTTTCTTGAGGTTGGAGAGGACATAAAAGATTTCATTCAATGTTTGAATCCTTTGATACAAGATTTGCTTCTTTTCTACCACCAGTTGATAAACCTAATAACTCATTTGTTGGAAATCTACTACCCTCCACAAGAAGGACCTTCCTTTCTTATATTGGGGTACTATGTGTATTTGTCTCCTGTCTATGAATCCTATTTTTCCTGCTTTTCTTCCTGCAGCCATTTAGAAGAGGCATTATTTATTTATTTATTTATTTATTTTTGTGACAGAGTCTTGCTCTGTCACCCAGGCTGGAGTGCAGTGGTGCGATCTTGGCTCACTGCAGGCTCTGCCTCCCGGGTTCACGCCATTCTCCTGCCTCAGCCTCCCGAGTAGCTGGGACTACAGGTGCCCACCACCACGCCCGGCTAATTTTTTTGTCTTTTTTAATAGAGATGGGGTTTCACCATGTTAGCCAGAATGGTCTCGATCTCCTGAACTTGTGATCCACCTACCTCGGCCTCCCAAAATGCTGGGATTACAGGCGTGAGCCACAGCACCCAGCCAGAAGAGGCGTTTTTTAAAAATAAGAAAACACTTCAGATGTTTTTAATATGCCATCATAAAATGTCCTGGAAGGGTGCACTAAAACTGTTTAAAAATGACAACTTTTGTGAAGTGGGACTAGGGGATAAGGGAGATAATTCTAGAAGTTAAGACTCATACTGGATTTAAAATATACTCATTCATGTATTAATTTAATAGCAGTAATAATTATTATTTTAAAATAACATTATGTCCTCTATGAGTCTCCTCTTAAAAATGCAAATGTTTACAGCTAATTTTTTTTCTCAAATAATAATTACTTTTAGGCCTCACTTCTGTCTTTTCATTTTCTCTGCTCATGGCTCTATCCTTTTGAAAGGTATTTGAGTGTGGCAGCCAAATAGAACCAAAATGACGAATTTATTGAATGGTGATTTAGTTGTGTGTATGTGTACAGGTGTCCACATGTATGTTGATATGCACAGATTAGACATTGTTTAGTATACAACCCTTAGTTTAGCATATAGAACTTCATAGATATATAGAGAAAATTATTACAGTCACTAAAAATGGAAGAAAAAAGGATTTTAATAGAAAAAAACATAATATATTATTTTCCACACAGGACAGAAATGACATGATCTTTATTTTTGTGTCGTGGGTTTTCCTACCTGTCTTAACTACAGAAAAATAACCCGGCATATACTCTTCTAATTAACAGGTCAAAAAGCATGCATTGAAGGATATTTATTAGTTTTCAAATACACTATTGTTTTGTACTGTCTTTATAATAAAATTGTGTATTTTTCTTAGGCAACATCTTATTTGTTTAATGTTTTAATTTTACCACTTAAATTTTTCAATTTTTTCTTTAATCATGATATGTCCAAAATTGTAGTATCTTAGGGAGTCAAGAAAGTGCTTTCTTTCCAACCCCCTCCAACCAGAAGACTAATGTTTTATGATAAAATATGGCAAAAGCAGAGTATTTATAAAAGCAATGTGAGAAAAGTAATGTGAGTCACAAAGGTAAAGAACAATGATGCCCTGTCAGCTCAAGTTAGGGAATCGATATCTTCATAAGTTAATGACACTGAAGTAAGCAAGTTCTTGGATCTGGCAAGAGGGTGTTGTATGGCAGGATGTTGCAAGGTATGGCTTTTGTGCTATTGTTGACGCTATGAGTCAATTCTCTGAGTCAACTCATGACAAGTTGATACGGAATCTAGTGAGAGTGCAGAATAGAATGGAATTATCCTTGGAGAAGTTGTTGATGCAGGAACTCTGAATCTTGAGTTTTGGTTCCAGTTCTAGCCCTGAAACTAATTACCTGAGTGTAAGTTAACTTCTCTGTGCCCCAGTTTCTTCACCTATAAAATGTGAATATTAAACTACATCAGTAGGCGGTTTCATGCTTTTGACCTTTTATGGATGTAGGGAATCACTGTGGAAAATCTGAAGGACTACATCCAGGAGGAAAACAAGACAAAATATTCTATGATGGGACAGCAGCTAGCTTTGGGTTATCAACATTTTCTGAAAAAATGTTAGTAACCATTGTTACAAGCATATTTCTTCTGTCTGTCATAGTAGGGAAGAAGCAGTACTTCATGTAAGATGTAAAGTGATTAGCGATCAGCCATGTCAACAGTTCAGAGCACTCAACCATTCCTGTCTCCTTTTTACTAAATAAGTATAATCTATCATAACATGGTTCAACTTGAAAAATTTTTCTTATAGCATCTGCAGAAAAATGTAGACAGAGAGCTAAGAATGATTAGCCTATAAATAATTAGTATTGAAAGTGAATAAAAACAGTTCTAAAGATCCAATAATTCAATTTGCTGTTTTAAAAATAATTGGAAATTGTCAGTTATTTCTAAAACAAAATGGGGCATTGATTCTTAATGGGTTTGTTTTAAATGCATAGCATTTTCCATTCACTTCAGCATTTCCACTAATTTGGTTTCATTATTAGTAATAAAATTGATATACATTATGCATGGAAGTAGTAGCTATCAAAGGAAGTAACATATAGAACCAACAGCTACCTCTCTCTATTATGATTCAAAAATAGTATGCTACAAAATAAAATGCTTCAGAATATAACTTTTTCATATTATTAAACATGAGACATTCTTATTCTTATATCTGAATTCTATTGGCTATGGAAAAAATTTCAGGAAAAAATAAAGTTTTGAGATTCTTGGGATATAATCATCCTTTGTATTTTCAAATTAAAGTGAATAGTAATTAGCAAGTTAAATTTATTGAAGCTAAGTTTATAAACGTTGAGAGGGAAATCTATTTTCTATAAAATTCTTGTAGAAAATTGAAAATTTGAGGAATTATTAAGAAACCAAATTCAAATAAACAGAATTAAACAAATGACTTGATGGACAATGACCCAAATTATGGGGGACAGTCTTTTGGAATTAAAATCTGTTTCTTCATTTAACCTACAGAATAATACAACTGATTTTATCATTTTGTGTTATTAGTGAATTCTTCATAATGGAAATTGTTCTGAACTAACAGTTGAAGAATTTGCTGTGACGTGATTTGCATCCTTTCCCACCCTCATAGTTTAAATAAGGCTGGCAAGCTCATGAGATTAGGCATTCCCATAACACTGTAAGAGCTTCCTGGCTTTATGCCTTCCAGAAGTAACAGCATAGAGTGTTTTTATAATAATCCTACTTTGGGGTAAAAACAGGAAGGGAGAGGCATGTTAAATTACATTTTTTATAAGATGAACAGAACCAAAAGAAAATAGAACAGTATCCTTTTCAGTTTTGGGAAAGTTAAAATGGACTCTGATTATTCAGATTATTTACTTATTTGTTTTTGAATAGAAAAAGTGTCTTGATATGCTGTTAAAATGTTATAAAATTTCTGTCTATTTTTTTCCTGAAACTGAGCTACCAAGCTAAGGTGACAATATTTAATTCACTTGTCTGCCTTACTTAGAAAACACACTTTGTTGGACAGATACATATTGTCTGCTGACATCAGTTCTTAAGATCAGGTTTAATACTGGTGCATTATGGAATTTTTCTAATCTTTCCTAGGATCGAATAGGTTATTAATACTTTTTAATTTTGTTATGATATCTCTTATCATCAGCAATTGACATTTACTGAATGTTTTATTCGGTAATAACTGCATATGCAATTCTAAATTTCTAGTTCTAATACTTTCTAAATGATAGGAAAGAACACAACTATTGTTAATAAATACAATAGTATTTCTCAAATTTTGAAGGGAAGAAAATTATTATCTAAATAAACTCTCAGGAACAGATGATCTTTTGCTATTTTGTGTTTTCCTTTTGGGTATCTGTTATCAGGGATGATGATAAACATATTTCTTGTATCTGACTACCATGATATTTTTCTCTATTCCTTTGGAAATGGCATTAGTTTTCTTCTGACACTATTGTTATTCTTTCCAGCATGGCAACCTTGGGCTAACAGCATACGTTAGTAAATGCTATGCTTTTTCTTTAAGGCTTTTCTAATTTTTAATTAAAAAGAAAAGATAGATTCTTGCTGATCACCTACAGGAGTGTGACTCTCCATGGTTACCTGTCACTCAAAGAACTCCAGCTCTGAGGAATGCTAATTAGCCCTGTTAAAGCACCATAATTGAACTGGAGAGATGACTGCCGAAGGTGCAGGTCTGCCTTCATTCAGAACAGTCCTGCCATCTGAATGGATGGAGCCATCCTGACAATGTGAGGGAATAAAGGAAGACGAGGAGAAAAAAGAAAAACAACATTCCATCTGCCTTTTTTTTGCTCAGTTTTAAAGTGATTATCAAGATGTAACCTGGATACCATGTGGATATTTTAAAAAAATGTTTTCTTTAGCCATAAGAGAATGAGCCATAGCACCTGCTTGACAATGATCTCTATGGTGACTACAGCATTTGAACTGTATAAAAATGAATATTGAAACAAATGGACATATTGGGACATCAGTGCGGATAATCATAATGATGATAATAGATGTATATTTTGGGAAGAGTAGTCAGTCTTTATTTAAATGACGATGGTATTTGGGCACAGACAACTGACCACACAGGAATGTTTCTTGGTTATTTTTTGGTGGGCAAGAGAGAAAGTTCTGGATATTGCAATGCCTCTCAAACATGTACATTGGCATTTAGAAATTTAAAGGAGAATATAACATCTAGTGGAGAAAATCTCAGACCATCACTTATAGTAAAAGAAAGAAAACTAAGATAATTGTGTTCCAAAAAATATTTCATTTTTCAACTTAGTTCTAAATATTAATGTGGGAAATAAATAATTGTAAAATTGTAAAATGATGATATACTTGACATAATAAGACAGTAGGATGTTCCATATAATCATGAAATCATAGTATTCTATAACTATAGGGACCTTAGATGTGTTAAAAGAAATTAGACAAATTTAACAGTTTGTTTGAACAAGAAATGATTTGCTAATTGGGAAGCTCTTAGAGACAGAAGAGTTCAGGGAGCTCTAATTAGCATTGTGGGCAGGCAACGTTTATGGACAGAAAATGAGAGTGAGATACAGAAACAGCTTGATATTTGCCTTGTTTGAATATGGCCTGATCACTTGACAGCCTGTGATTGACTGAAGATTGGCTGATGTGATTGGCTGAGACTCAGTTACTTGTTACAAAAGTATATTCCTATATTAGGCTTTAAGTAAGTTACTTGGTTGTAGTACATTATATTGGGCCTATTAAGTACGGAGGCATCCTCAGGCCAAATATAGTTTAATTTAACAGCAATAACCATGTACAATGCCTTGGAAATTAACATTTAGAGAAGCTGTCACTAGCCCCAAACCACATAATAAATGATAGGTAGAGGTCAGAACAGAATCCAAGACCTCTGACCCCATGTTTACCATGTGGGGTAAAGAGTAGGAGGACGAAATGTGATTTGATTCTAAGGTGACGTGGTGCAAAATCCATAACATCAGAGATTTTTATCTTAGCCTTTGTTATAATATAGTATTCGTAGCACCTCAGAGTGTCTAATGCCTCACATCTCTTTATGAACAGACACATTCTTATATAAGTTGAATTTTAAAAATTACTTTCAGATATTTAAAAGGCTGGACCACCCAATAAGATAATTCTGCACTCCTTGCCTTTGTTCCCTCCCTCCTTCCTACCTTCCTCCCTCCCTCCTTCCTACCTTCCTCCTTCCCTCCCTCCCCCTTTCCTTTCCCTTTCCCTTTCCCTTCCCTTCTTTCCTTTCCTCTCTCTCCTCCCTCCCTCCCTCTCTTCTTTCCTCCCTCTCTCCCTCCCTTCCTTCCTCCCTCCCTCCCTCCCTTTCTCTTCCTTCTCTTCCTCCTTCCCTCCCTCCTTCCTTCCTACCATCCTTCCCTCATTTATTCCTTCTTGTTCATGTTGGTGTGAATCCGTCTAGAAGTTAAATTGAATGTGGTGACTTTGACATGTGTATTACTGGAATAACTGGAAATCACTGTTATCCTAACTTACTTAGATGTGTTGTAGACTACTTACTTCTTCCTTCAGAGAAGTAAATACAGCATACTTAACCAACAGACATTGAAAGCCTAATATGAGAATAAAAGAAACAGATGAAACCAAAAAACCAGTTCCATTAGGTAACTACTGTATTCTAGGCACACATATTATTTTATGTGATTCTTGCAGCAAACCCATACTTTTGATACTATGTATATATTTTATAGATAGGAAACCAAGTTTCAGAACGTGTTAAGTAATTTTCTCAAGGTAATAAAAGTAGTAAATGAAAGAGCTAGGATTTAAACCCAAATAGTTTTTCTCCAAATCCATGCTTTTTCACAATACTGTGCTTTATTATGACTTCAAACTATAATTGCCTAGTCTCTTCAACATGCAGTCCACACAACTGAAAATCAATTTTCTTTACAGTTCTCACAGAGCTATGATAATTGGTATTATATAGTGGGCAGCCTTATCTTTAGAGTGTGATTATTCCAACTCTTGTCCATCCTATTTTGGCTGGGGTGTTCAGAGAAGACTTCTCAGAGATGGTGACCTTAGAGCTGAGACCCAAAGGAGGAAATGAGGCCAGCCAGGTCACCATCTTGAGGGGGAATAAGTCAGGCAGAGGAAATAAAGGTGCAAAGTCCCCATGAAAGAAATAAGCTTTGTCTGAATACTTAGAATAAACTGAATGGGATGAGGGAGGGGTACAAAAGATGAGGTTGGAAAGACAGGGGTCAGTCAGTTTTTGCAGAATCTTGTAAACAAAGTAAAAAAATTAGCATTTTATTCCAATTGTAGCAGGAAAGGACTGCAGGATTTTTAGCACAGATGTGCCATGATACCATTTATGCTTTAGAAAGATTATCAAGAGCATAATAAATTATTGGGAGCAAGAGTGGAAGGGGCCTGCTGGGAAGGCCTAGGAGTTTCAGATAAGAGAGCAGGGTTTCAGCAGTGCAGAGGGTGAGAAATCATCAGCTTTGGGATACATATCAGGGGTTATGCCAGCCTGATTTTTGGATGATGGGAGGTGGATAATGGGAGGTGGATGTGAAGGAAAGAGAGGACTTAAGGTTGTCTGTGGTGCTTTTGTCCTGAGAAGGGTCCAATGAGACAGTGCTATTTACCCAAGGATAACTGAGGAAGGAACAATTTTATGAGGGACATGTTAAGATAGTGCTTTTTGCATAGAAAACTCTTAAAACACAGTTTTATAATGAATGAAGGATAAAGATTTAGACTGTTTTATTTGTGGTTACTCAATAAATACTTCACTGAGACAGTTTAAAAAATGATATAACCTAGCCTAAAGTAAGAATACAATTTTAAACAAAAACAAACAAAGCAGTCATTATAGCTAATGATAAAGTATATCACTGTACCATAGAAGAAGCACCATATATTCAGAGAAAAAAAGCTAAATGGTTGTGAAATTTCCTCTCAAGGTCATTTGGAAAGGCTATAATAAAAAGAAAAGAAAAGCAAGAAATAACAGCATGTCAAGTGGGCTGTTTACCACACCTTTTTCCACCACATAGGTAAGAAGTCACATCTTGTCAAATCTGCATAGTTCATGAGAATGGAATGCTTCAAGGAGACCAACCCTTTTCCACACCCTTAACTCTTTTTCTTTCATCCTAGAGTAAAAATAAAAATGAAACTTGACTTTCAGTAAGAAGAAACTGACCACAGGATTAAAGATATAAAGACAATTATTATAAAGATACTCTGATTTTTGACATCCTGTTTACAATGTGAGTGTGTATCTGTGTGCATAAAAGTTTTCTTGCCTTCTAATAGTGGTTTTTATTATTTTTATTAGACACAGTGGGTAGAAATTTTTAACTGCTTTATTGAACGTGAGCACCAACACATATAATTTTGAATAACAACCAATAATATCAGAATTTTAAGTTTGTCCTAAAATTAGTGAAAGACCTTTTGCTGAGCTTACTTATTAAGAACGTCCTCTTCAGCACTAGAAGTTTTACTCTTGGTGTTTTGCCAGAGAATTGTATAACCATTGCTCACATTCATCTCTCTTATCTAACTGATTGTAATTTCCTTTTTCTCACTTTTAAAACTTTAGTGTTTACTTTCTACTATATTCATTTTTCTTTTTTGATATTTTGTTTGATAAGTATTCTTTATATATATTATTTCTTTAACCTGTTTTCAAGCCTCTTCAAGTATTTTCTAGACATTTATTTGGGGTGAAGCATGGGGATGCAGGAAGAAAGTTAAATAGTAGACAAGTACATGAATAAATATTACATTGGCATGTGTGTTTTCTCTATTTTTATGACTCACATGTTGAGACCCACAGCTAGGTCATATGCATTCATGGAGTTCATGTCATTTCTCCAGGGTTGAGTGTGTACAGAGCACGGGGCTAGGTATGAGCAACAGGTTGTTCTGTATTCAAGATGTATACCCAGTGGATCATTCCATCATTTGTTATTTATTTACATGTTGAATAGTCTATTATCCTTTCATATTGGACTGTTTCTCTGATCTTCACTATTAGAAATTAGGACCCAATAAAGTAAGGGATACTCCTATGAATGGGGGGCTGAGAAGCACAAGTAACACCAAAACATTAGTTCAGTGCCATTGAGAGAAATACAACAACATTTCTGGTTTTTGAAATCAAGAATATTTAGTATAACCACTTATTATCTTCATGTATTCCATTTTCATTATGTTTCACACTAAAAGAAAGTGAATACTTATCGAAATACCTTTAAAATGCATTTATTTTGAGTGACATTTATCTCTTCACATTTAAAATTACAGTCATGCTGAGTAGCAGACACTGTGGTTGTCCCTTGATATCTTCACATTTTTCATTGTAATAGTTAAGATGATGTTTCCAGCCTCCCCTGCGGGCTGAGTGACCATGTAACTAAGTTCTGGTGAGTGAGACGTAAAGAGATATAAAAATGTGTGCAATTTCTAGGTCTAAGGAGATGAGGCATGTTGTCTTCTTCTTCCTTACCCCCTCCCTGTTGGCAGGGATGGGGATCTAGTGGTGAGTCTACTGGACCATTCAAATGAAGTCAACTGCCTAGGACTAGCAAAGCATCATGATAGAAAAGGGTCAGCATTTCTTATGACATTGCAGAATAGAGCCACAAAGTAACTCAGACTCATATATTATATTAGAATATCTCATTGACACATTATATTAGATATTATATTAGAATATCTCATTGACAGTATAATATCTGGACAAATTGATTTTCAAAATTATGTCTAAAAGGTTTTTTTTAAAAAAAACCCTATAACATGTTACATTCAGTCCTACCTATTTGTGTAAGTAGTCCTAGCTTGAGCTATACTGATTTTGTTACATATGAGAGGTGCATTTCTATTGAGATGAGCAAGAAATGTCTCAGCTATACTTATAGGCGAGTATACATTGTATATTACACAATTGTCAGTAAATGGACATCTACATAAAAACAATATATATGCATGAAGATGGAGAGAGAACACTAAAGGATGCTGACATTACTGTGAGGCTCACCTTGCTAGTTAAGCCACTCATTCCTACATATCATACTCAAAGAGTATCAGAGTGAGCAAATCTGTGCTGTAGAAAAATCACAGGTTGCGTCATGTCAAAGATATTAGAAGTTTCTTGAGAGTTAAAGCCTTGAATCTTAGGTTTTTGAAGGCCCAGTGTCTGCTCTATGGCATTTTATAGTTTTGCTATTTGATCATCTGGGGAGCATTTTTATGGCAGATGTTACCTAATGACTCCTTTAGTGATTAATCGAGGCATGCCTAGGAACTACTAAGGGGAAGAAACAGCTTTGTAAATATATGAGACAAATATGATAGGAGCTGGTTACATGCACTGGGATGATCCTATAGCAACTTGTGTGATTTCTTAGTTGGTTGCTCACAGCCTTTACATGCGTTGCTTGCAAAGTATTTAGTGCTAAAGCTGGTAACACAAAACTAAAAGGCTCACTGCAAACATTTTGCTTACGAATAAAACATTTTCAGTAATTCTGGGAACTTACAGGTTCGTTGTAACTGCTAATTGGAATCCTCATATGTTGACCAGAAAATCATAGTGAATAAGAAATGTGGTGATCATTTAACAATAAACTGCAGAAACGTAAGCCGAGCATTGTTATATGTTAATCAAAAGGCTTCAAATGGAATTATTGTGTGAAAGAACTCTTTCAAAAGGGATTGCTATAGGTCTCCGATAGTAGCTATCATTTATGTAGTACTTATCATGGTTCAAATATGTGCTAAGTACTTTCTATAGATTATCTTGTTGAATCTTTAGTGTAACTCTATGAAGTAGTTACTATTATTGATTTGAAAAGGAAACTGAGATTTAGAATGTTTAAGCACATTGTCCCAAATAACAGAATTAATAATTGGTAGTACAAGGATATAAACCCAGGTTTGTCTGACTTCAAAGTTCATTCCCTTAATATGAAGCATGGATCTATTTATTGACAGAAAAAACAACCATATTCCATTTATGATAAGAAGTTGAATCAGTGTAATACATATGTTAAGACAAAGTAAAACAGTATCTAGTATAGTAAAGATCTTCCCAAATAAGCAGTTGAATCTATTTAATATATATTTATCCTCTTTGAATCTCTTCTTCCAAGTCTCTGTTCTTGTTATGGAGGTTTTCAGCAAAATGCACTTGGTCTTCCAACAACACATTGTTGAATATCCTTCCACACACATTGCTTTTCTGTTCCCATGGAGGTATTCAAACACTCTTTATAATGCTCCTTTTAGCAGCAGAGCACCTTCTAGAGCCTCAGACAGCTATGTGATGTCATTGAGTGGCTGCAAGCATCTAAAAGGAAAAAAAATGCAACTGGTTTCATCTTGTCCTCTACTTGGACCAACATATAAATGACCAGGAGTTAAATCCATATTTGGAGCACTTGGAAATGAAATCTTATCTCTGGAAGTTGAAATAATGTAGTTAAGTCAATGTTTAAAATAAAATTTATTTGCAGGATTAAAATGTTTAGAAAAAAAACAGTTGGAGAAAGACAGCAAGAGGAATCTTCACTTTATAGAATGTTTTGGCACTTATAAATTATTCTGAAAAATATTAGATGAAAAAGATTTTTTTGACAATTTGTAGTTGTATGAGGAACGTCCATCAACAACAAATTGTTTAAAATGCAATCAAATGGTATTAATGTATCACATTTTTGCCTCTCTCAAGCATTTCTTACAAATTCACATTTATTTGTGGACTGGATTCTAACACTTTTTCATTTAAAAGTCATTTGAGAAATTTTAGGATCAAGTGCAAAGGAATGTTATGGAGTTGAGATGATAAGTATGACAGTAATTGAGCTTCACCAAAGAAGAATCTTATGAAATTGAAAGCAGAACATATTTAATTATTAAAAATATTTCATTACTTTATAACACTTAGAATGTAAAATATTTAGTCTCTATCCATGACACATTTATTTTAAGATCATGTAGTATTTGACAGTTTCAGAACAATGAATCTGAACGTTCCTTATAGGATTTTGGATCTGCATTTATTCTCATTCTGTTGATGTTCTGGGGAAAATATGTTGTCCTGGTGTATTGAGGTGGATACACTGTTCTACCCCTTCCACATTCTCTCTCTAATGAAGCCAATGGTATACCCTAGATAATAATAGATTTCTTTTAAACTTGTACATGGCCTCTGGTAGATTTTCAAATACAACAAAAACAAAAATAAGACAAAAATAAACCTCAAAAATAGTTTACAAATATCTCTCTAAAGAAAAAAAATCCAAAAAGAAAAAAACTAGAGAGAACTGCCTTAGAAATAAGGTGTATTATCCAAAAGCAATGGCAATAAAAGCCAAAATTGACAAATGGTATCTAATTAAACTGAAGAGCTTCTGCACAGCAAAAGAAACTACCATCAGAGTGAACCGGCAACCTAAAGAATGGGAGAACATTTTTGCAATCTACTCATCTGACAAAGGGCCAATATCCAGAATCTACAATGAACTCAAACAAATTTACAAGAAAAAAACAAACAACCCCATCAAAAAGTGGGCGAAGGATATGAACAGACACTTCTCAAAAGAAGACATTTATGCAGCCAAAAAACACATGAAAAAATGCTCATCATCACTGGCCAACAGAGAAATGCAAATCAAAACCACGATGAAATACCATCTCACACCAGTTAGAATGAACATCATTAAAAAGTCAGGAAACAACAGGTGCTGGAGAGGATGTGGAGAAATAGGAACACTTTTACACTGTTGGTGGGACTGTAAACTAGTTCAACCATTGTGGAAGTCAGTGTGGCGATCCCTCAGGGATCTAGAACTAGACATACCATTTGACCCAGCCATCCCATTACTGGGTATATACCCAAAGGATTATAAATCATGCTGCTATAAAGAAACATGCACACATATGTTTATTGCAGCACTATTCACAATAGGAAAGACTTGGAACCAAGCCATATGTCCAACAATGATAGACTGGATTAAGAAAATGTGGCACATATACACCATGGATTACTATGCAGCCATAAAAAATGATGAGTTCATGTCGTTTGTAGGGACATGGATGAAGTTGAAAACCATCATTCTCAGCAAACTATCGCAGGGACAAAAAACCAAACACCGCATGTTCTCACTCATAGGTGGGAATTGAACAATGAGAACACATGGACACAGGAAGGGGAACCTCACACACCGGGGCCTGTTGTGGGGTGGGGGAGGGGGGAGGGATAGCATTAGGAGATATACCTAATGTTAAATGACAAGATAATGGGTGCAGCACACCAACATGGCACATGTATACAAATGTAACAAACATGCACATTGTGCACATGTACCCTAAAACTTAAAGTATAATAATAAAAAAATAAATAAGGTGTATTATTATCCCATTAGCTGATGACATAGTAAAAATTCAGTGTCATCTGAGATACTGCCATAGGGAACAGCAGAGATTATTTCCATTGAATGTAGATAAACAAATTGATACCCCAAAGTCTGATTTTTTTTCTTATAGTTTCTCATTAGAGTCAATAAAACAAAAACCAAATCACAGTTGTCTTGAACAACCACTAGGAGTTCTATCCTTGTTAGGCTAGGCTGCCTCCATAAAAATGACACTGTTCCATGTGGCAGTCACTCATTTTACAAATCAAGCACTAAGAAGCTGAGGTAGAGCCTATGCTATTCACGTAGAACTGCATTCCAGCTAAAAGCAGGGATAGGAGACAAGTGGTCTGGTGTTTACTTCAGCTTTCCACAGAGCAGTCATTAAATTTATAAATGCACATCCTCAGAATCTTCCATCCTTGTTGATTACTTTTTTAAAAACCTTCCATGTGGGTCTGTAGGAAAATTGTCCATAATTATATTATGTTGCAAACCTGGCCTAGCTGAATGCATTATGTTATATGGTGTGAGAAGGAAAAACCTGCTTAGGTAATAAAATTCTTGCCTATAAGAATTTCTCTGGCATCTTTATCTCATTGAATAATGTCCATTAACTTCTGCTACTTAGAAATTTGAAACAGCTCCCCAATTTCAAAATATTGCCTATGATTTTCATGCCAGCATCCAACACAATATTATTAAGGCTATATTTAATTCTGGATTATGATCATTTTTACTCACCTACATGGGGAAAAATACATACACAGACATATATTCATTTATTCGTAAATAAATATGTACAAATATATGAAAATACATTCCCAAAAGTTAATCATTATATGGCATATAATAAGTAATAATGGTTTTCAAAGGAAAAATAAATTTTATTTCTAGATTGAACGTATGTTATAAAAAATGATAACATTTGAACTTAAAATTCACAATTTTTTAAGATTCTTCATTCTTCAAATTGCCATGTTACTACTATCTTTTCCCTTGTACAGAATTAATCTAGAAGTGGAAATGTTTTGACTGGGTTCACACTGGGAGGGACTGAATTTGGAGGAAACATCCAACACTGGCAGTAGGCAAATTGGAAACCCAGAACTCACTTTAGTCTCCTAACACTCGCAGTATTTGTGTCATGGAGCCAGCTGTTGAGTGTATGCTGGTGTTATGGCCAATAGGTGGGCTTCTCTGGAGAAATTCTGAGAATCTCACCTAGTATAAATCTATGTAGTGACACAAGGAAGTAATTCAGTCATTTAATTGACAGGGAACTGTTAACTCAACCAAAATGGTGGAATCAGTTGTGTGGTCAGGAAAAGTTGAGACACTCGACGGAAATTTATGTTTCAAAGGAAGTTGTGGGCTCCACCATCACTGAAGCTGCCACGTTTTTGCATAGATATGGCAATGGGAAGAAATGGCAGAAAGAAAGTAAATAAATAAAAGATCTTCTGCAAAATAGGAAAAATATTTAATTGATGTTGATAAGTACCATTGGCTTTATTTTCTGAAAATGAAGAAGATGCCTTTCAAAGTCATTGTCGTTCCATTAGGAATTCTTTTTGTCTGAAATGTTATACATCTAGGGTATGCAGCATGCTTGGAAATTAATCATATTTTGCTTTGTGACAACTCTTGAATAATTTTCTTGATTGTTATTTGACTTCTGTGTTTTTATTTAATTTTTCATAATTGGTATTGACTTTGTATTGAAAATTGCTCTAGTTGTTAGACTTTGCCTTAAAATTGTATTTCCTGCAGCACCTTCCAAGAGCCTTCACAGAGTAGGAGTTCAGCTAAGTATTTTATAAATTTATGATTTGATGTATTTCTGTAGGCTTAAGAATTGAAATTAATTAAAATATATTTGTAAAGTTTCAGATATAGTGTGTGGCTAAAACTAGCATGCGGCACACTTGTTCAAAATTAGATAGACAAGGAGCACACACAGGATAAGAAGCCCGAGATATTTATGTACTCGGAAAAGAACTGTGTTTTAAATTAAAACTGAAATTCTATGTAAGTGTATTAATAGATATTTAGGAAACAGGGTAATATAATATGTTTAAAGAATAGAAACATAAGAAAAGGGTTTGGGCCATCAAAATTGAGTGTCATTTACAGCGTTACTTTTGTTTTTATGAGAAACCTTTGGTAGGAAGTGTAAAGACTACTTATTGTTCCATTTGGATAAGTACATCTTCTTATCAATAGAGTTGTGACATATCCATAAGAATCTCACACATTTGTTAAAAGCAATTAATGTAAAGCGAGTCTCTGAATTTTAAAATAGCTTGCTAACACACATTAAGTGTCTTAGTCTGTTTCTATTGCTTAGAATACTTGAAACTGGATAATTTATTTTAAAAAGGAACTTATTTCTTATAGTTATGAGCTATGGAGGCTAGAAGTTCAAGGCTAGGGTGTCACTTCTGGGGAGGGCCTTCTTGCTGGTGGGGATTCTGGAGAGTCCTGAGGTGGCTCAGGGCATCACATGGTGAGCGGGCTGAGTGTGCTAGCTCAGGTCTCTCTTCCTCTTCTTATAAAACCACTAGTCCTACTCCCATAAAAGTTTATTAATTTATTAATCCACAAATGGATTAATTCATTAATAGGAGCAGAGGCTTCATGACCTAGTTATCTCTTGAAGGCACCACCTTTCAATACTGCTACATTGGGGATTAAATTTCAACATGCATTTTGGAGGGGACAGATATTCAATCCATAGTAGTGGGTTCTCTAAAAACACTAAACATAAATGAAGAGATGAATAGATCATTATTAAAAATCATCTTGAATAAAGGATCTCTAATTATAAGGCCTGGGCTGATAAGTTAAAAAGTACAACTCAGTCGAAAGTGTTTTCATCAGTAGCTATTAGAAAAGAGAATATCTCTTCCACATTTATTCTTTTAATACAGTATTTGATAAATGAAATAGGGTGTGAAAGTCTTACATCTCTATATATGGCTAGAAAGGAAAATTTGGGATACATAAAATAGAAAGATAGATGATAGATAGGTAGACAGACAGATAGGTGAGTGTGTGTTTGTGTATGTGTTACACCAGGTGGCTCAAATTCTAGCCATAGCAGAATCTTTGTAATTTTATAAACATGTCATTAACTTCCATAGTTTCAGGTGTCTGATCATGGTTCTCTCTCTGCCCTAGATGTTTTCTTTGCCTGTCTACGTGGAAAGCTCCCATTTCTCCTTAAAGTCCAACTCAAATGTAGTCTCTTTTCTGAAGTCTTTTCTGACCCTCTAGGGAGAATTAGCAACTTCTGTGAGTATATTCCCATACCAAACTTTACAAGCGTTTGATAACATACTCTTCATTTTGTATCATGCTTCTTGTTGCATGTCTGCATCTCCCACTGCACTACAGGCTTCTCAAGGACAGAATGATAATCCCCAGACTATTACTTTGATGTTTTGAAATAGAGAAATACAAGATTTGATTAGGATTAATAGTGAACTCAGAAAAAGGATATAAATGTTCAAGAGACAGCTTTCTAAAGAAAGCTTAGAAAGGTTACAAACAATTCACGAAAAAAATAAAAGCCAATAAACATGTTTAAAATGCTTGATCTCACACAAATCAAAGATTATTGTAACAAGTAAGAACACAAATTGAAAATATTTTTTAAAATTGTAGTAGCCTATACAAAAGAGTTGTGGAGAAAGTGGCTCTACCAAACTCTTTTTGTGGGAGTAAAAATGACTACAATACATCTAGAGAACATGTTGGTGATAAATATTGTGATCTTATAAATGTTTTCTGTTCCAAAAATTCCACATCCTAAGAAATCATCATAAACATACATAAACATGCATTATGTGTATTTACATGCATAAACACACATTATGTATGTTTACATACATAAACATACTTTATGTAAAGTATACATTTCGTGTATGATAGGATAACATTGGCTACATCTTCAATGTCCAAAAATTTCAGATCAGTTAAATAAATTAACATGAAATATAATATGCAGACATTAAAATGATACCAACAAAAGGATGTTTATTGGTATAAAAATTTAGGAAATATTTAGAGAAACTGATTATATTATTTAATAATGCAAGATATGGGCACTATGATCCCATTCATAACATCTTTCTACCCATTAGGAATAACACAGAAAATTATAGGTATTTATCATAACTAAAATGCAACAATTTTGGATGGTACTTTCCATGTATTACAGTCTCTCCAGTATACATTTGTTTTCATCTGTTAGCAGAAACATTTGATGAAACTAAAATTAAAATAAAAATTGCTGAAGTTAATGTAACTTGGGATAGGAGGTAGAGCATCTTTTTCCCTGGAGGAAGCAGTAGGGCTGAGGACCAATGGGACTCTGAAACTGAGAATATAATGGCAGAGCTGGGGCCAATCAAGTGGCCATGATACTTGGGAGATTGGGTATATACAGAGAGATTGAGCGAATAAGTAAATATATTGGGTCTTTCTAATGATTAGATTCAACTTTTGCACCTTTGGCAGAAATGAAACAGAAATGACAGAATTCTTCCCATTGCCTGCTATCAGGGGCTCACAGTATCAACTGGTCTCATTAATGTTAATTTGAATTTCTTTGATTAAAGTGGAACTTTGGGTCTTCTCCACAGGAAAGTTATATTCTCCTCTTTGAAAGATTCATCAGGAACAAGATATTTACAGAGTTTCAAAATATGGCCCCACAAAATATCCTTATTAATCAATTTAATGTAATCAAATTAATTTACTTAATTGATTAATGTCAGTATGGATTCATAAATTCCCATTTTATTCAATGCATTATTATCTACTACTGTCATGTTTTCATATTTATATTATCTTGGATTTTGCCATTGGAAACCCTTTCATGCCGATTTCTGTGTTCTTATGACATGACATGTCATCATCATTCTTTGAGCACTTCCTTACTTTCTGGCAAAACCAAATGTTCTGACTTACCTACTACTTCTGTTGTGCCAAGCCTAGAATCAACCATTCTGCAGGTAACCATGGAGGAACATGGTATTTACTTATTTAATTATTATTATTATTATTTTTTTTTTTTGGAGATGGAGTCTTGCTCTGTTGCCCAGGCTGGACTGTAGTAGCATGATCTTGGCTCACTGCAACCTCCACCTCCTGGGTTCAAGCAATTCTCCTGCGTCAGCCTCCTGAGTAGCTGGATTACAGGTGTCAGCCACCATGCCCAGCAAAATTTTTCTGTATTTTTAGTAGAGACAGGGTTTTACCAGGTTGGCCATGTTCGTCTCAAACTCCTGACCTCATGATCCGCCTGCCTCGGCCTCCCAAAGTGCTGGGATTTCAGGCGTGAGCCACCATGCCCGGCCCAGAACATGGTATTTAGAAACCAGTCTGACTGCTAGATATGTTCTTTGCTACAAGGACACTGTTGTTCGTTTTGCCATCTCAGTTAACAGATCAAGAAAATAGGTGTAGGTGTATACATACATGCATTCATACACATATACACATTTATTTTTTATTTATTTATTTTTTAATTATACTTTAAGTTTTAGGGTACATGTGCACATTGTGCAGGTTAGTTACATATGTTTATATGTGCCATGCTGGTGCGCTGCACCCACTAACTCATCATCTAGCATGAGGTATATCTCCCAATGCTATCCCTCCCCCCTCCCCCCACCCCACCACAGTCCCCAGAGCACATATACACATTTATATCTGTATTTATTTTCTATATCTTGCTACTTACACTAAAAAACTGAATTCACACACCAATATTTTCAATTCCAATTCACTACCAAATTGTCCATTCTATTCTCCCTTTCCTTATTTGTAATTCCTTCTCCAACGTTACCCTCATTATTCCTAATGCATTTTTTCATTTCAAGTTCTTATATATAACCAGACTCTTATTGCTAGCCCTCATCCTTGCACAGATACCTTTCTCATTCCGCTCAGAACTAAAGCATCTTGTTAAAGAGTGCTTCTGTGTACATCATCATCCCCACCTTGAATATGGCTGTTTTCCTCTTCTTACTCCAGCTCCAGTATCTCACCCTGGGCTGCTGTGGCCCCTGCAGACCTATCCCTCACCTCGGGCAGATGCCTACCTTCCTGGGCCCCTTGGCTTTTGAATTAAAATATTTGGGAAGGAAAGGAGGAAGATAGAGAATGGAAGGAATAGTAAAAAGACAGAATAGAAGAGAAGAGAGGTTGAAAGCAGAAAAGGAAGAGAGAAGTTTAGAAATTCTTATCTTGAAACTCTGAAGCATTAGTTTTTGGAATTTTCATCTGAAAGCAAATCAAGACTCAAGTTTGTGTCGAAGACAAGAATCACATAGATTTAATCTATAGTTTGTTGTAACTTACATGTATTTATTAGTATTGATAGTCCTTCCAGTCATTTTACAATATATTTCTGAACAAAGTATATTACACAATTAGGATCCATGTCATTTAGCAATTTTTATAAAATCAAAATGAATTGACATGTATTATATTAACTAATGGTTATTAAATTACATTTTAGAATATTTAGTATACTAGCATTTTGAGGCATTCTGTAAAATACTATTTCCAAAGTTAAGGCAATTGTTTGAAACTTTTTTAGGGCTGGGCGTGGTGGCTCACACCTGTAATCCCAGCACTTTGGGAGGCTGTGGCGGGTGGATTGCCTAAGGTCAGGAGTTTGAGACCAGCCTAGCCAACATGGTGAAACCCCGTGTCTACTAAAAATACAAAAATTAGCCAGGCGTGGTGGTGGGCACCTGTAATCCCAGCTACTTGGGAGGCTGAGGCAGGACAGTTGCTTGAACCTGGGAGGCCTAGGTTATAGTGAGCAGAGATTGTACCACTGTACTCCAGTCTGAGTGACAGAGCAAGACTCCATCTCAAAAAACAAACACACAAACACAAAAAACAAACAAAAAAAAACCTGTTTAGATTTATAAAATTTTGCTAATGACATATTTAGCATCATTTTTAGATAATACAAACTCTGTATCTAAGGCATGTTAAAATTATTTAGTTGGCTATCAAAGTGTTCAATCATTTAACTTAGAAAGTTCATTCATTTATTTTATTCAATAAAATGCTTTACAAACTTAAATATATACCTAGCATTATTTAGTATTGTTAGTATAAAACCTAATATATAAAATATTTTTTTAAAAATATAGCATTTTAGCCTGGTAGTGGCATGGGGGGTATATTTTGTGAATTAATATTCAAGGAGATATTCTTTAAACTAAGTCACGACATGATCATTGTGAGTCTAAGTCAGCACTTAATAATGAATGACAATAGAATCAAAGAGAATATGAGTAATTGCACAAAGGAATCATTTGTATTTACATGTTCTGTGAAATATTTATTTTAGTTAAATGTGTGCTATGCTTCTTTGAATCTATCTACTGGATCACTATGTAAAATATTTCTTAGTGCTCACTGCCAAAATAATTGAAAACTACTGACTCAAAGGCTAATCAAAATTTTCAATATGATATCTAAGATGAAAGAAACTTTCCAACAGATAAAGAAATAAATACCAAGTAGGTAGACAAATTGAATAACATAAATGTACTGAAAGCAATAATAAATAGTAGTTCAACATTTTTCTCAGTATTAAGGAACTGTCACTGAGCATTGCTCAGTAGGTATTGCTAGAAATGAATGCATTTCCCCCCAATTGCTGACTCAGAAATGCATCATGATTTTGCCCTTGGGTGGTGCACTGATGGTATTCTTACTTCCAGTGTAAGTTGCAGAGTGAGCAAAAAAGAATCTAGAAAAAAAATGCTTTTTTGCAATAATAAAATATGTCACTGAATGCATGGGTGTCAGAACACTCCCACATATTTTTAGTTCTTATCCAGTTGTCCCTAATGAGGAACAAGTAAACAGAATTAGAATTCAAAAGATCTGGATTTGGTATGACCTCTGCAATTCTACCAGATGGTACAACTCCAAGGGACACCATTCGCATAGAACACAATGTACAGGGAATACATTTTGCAGTACAGGCCCTGAGGCCACTGTTCCTCTGCCACTGCCACAACTGTGGAAGCAATGGTTCTGAACCTTCATTTCATCATCTGGAAATATGTGAACTGAGTTTGTCTTGTTCATATTCATTAAGTATAATGGGCCATGTTGGCTCATGAAGAAAGAGTAATCACTCTTGGAAGCTTTACAATTCTCCTTTTCATTATGTTTCTTCCCTGTCTCTGGTGCAGTTTTAGGTTCATAGCAAAATTGAGAGAAATGTGCAGAGATTTCCCATGTGCCTGTTACCCACACACAAGCATAGCCTTCAGCATTATCTCCCATCAGAGTGACACATTTGTTATAATTTATGAACTACATTGACACACCTTTATCACGAAAAGTCCATAATATGTGTAAGAGTTTATCTTGGTGTTGACTATTCTATGAGTTTGGACAAATACATAATGACAGGTATCCACCGTTGTAGTATCATACACAATAGTTTCACTGCCCTAAAATCCTCTGTGCTCTGCCTATTCATTCCCTCCCTGCCCCAATCCCTGACAACTACTGATCTTTTTGTCGTCCATAGTTTGCTTTTTCTACAGAATGTCATATAGTAGGAATCATACATAGCCTTTTCAGATAGGCTCCTATCACTTAGTAATGTATTTCAGTTTCTTCTATGTCTTTTTATGGCTTGATAGCTCACTTCTTTTTAGTGCAGAGTAATATTCCATTGTCTGGATGTATTTTTTGAAAAATAGTATGTTAATTTTATTCAAAATGACAATTTTTGACTCAGATTTTTTTAGAACAGCTTTATATTTGCAGAAAAAATGTAAAGATAGTACAGGAAGGTCTCATATATCTCATACTCTGTGTCTCCTATTATCAACATCATATATTGGTATGGTACATTTGTCACAATTAATGAATGAATATTGCTACATTATTAAGTAAAGTCCTTGTTTTATTCAGATTTCCTTGGTTTTTAACTTACTGCTTTTTTTCTTTTCTGGGATCCTATCCAGATTGTCATATATAGGTTAACTGTCATGTTTTCTTAGGTTCCACTTGACTGTGACAATTTTTGATGACTATGAAAATTTTGAGATGTAGTTGCATTTAAAAAAATAAGTATATTTAAATCTGTTTTTTTTTTTTACATAGTAATGGGGTCTTGATGTACTGCCTTAGACTGGCCTCAAACTCCTGAGCTTAAGCAATCCTCCTGCCTCACCCTTCTGAGTAGCTAGGACCAAAGGCATGTGCCATCATGCCTAGCTAAGGAGTACTGGTATCTTGTCCAATGTACCTCAGTTGGGATTTGCCTGATATCATGGTTAGGTTGGGTTTATGAGTTTTGGGGAGGAAGACCATAGCCATAAAGTACAATCAAAATGACTTATCACTATTAATGTTAACCTTGATCACCTGGCTGAGGTGTGTTTGTCAAGTTTGTCTATGGTAAAGTTATTCCTCCCCACTTTTTCTGAATTGTGCCGTTTAGAAGGAAGTCACCGTATGACTTACATGGAGTGAGGAGTTATGCTCCACCTTCTTGGGTGGGGTGACTTTTCTGCATAATTTGGGATTCTTTGGACAAAAGATGTGTCTAATCTCCCCCCATTTTCTTATTTAATCAATTGTTTTTATTAGCAGGAACTCCTGAATATTTATTTTAGACTTTGGATTTCATAAAGTTTTTAGGTTATGGAAAACTCCCTTGATTTTATTTAGATCTCTTATCTTACCAGCTCAGCTCTTGCCACTTCTTACCACATACTCAAAATTCTAGGCACAGGAAACACTTCTCTGTTTGCAGACATGCCACTCAGACATCTCTCTGTCTTCACACACTATTTCTTCACCTGGAATTCCCTTTTCCATATACTGTAGTTGAATTCATGTCAGTTCTTTGAGATCTAGCTCATATAACTGCCTGGAAATTAGACTTTATTTTCCCTTCCTTGGAAGTTTATGTATATACCTTTATAGTAGTATTTATCACATTATCTAATATTTGTTTGCTTGTTTATCTTCCTCACTATATTGTGAAGTCATTGTGATACAGGCTATTCCTTACTCTATTCTCCAGTAGCTAGCTCTCTGCCTAAGCAAGTTCTTGACAATATACAATATTTGAATGGATGGACAAGAAATAGAATTTCGCTAGTTAATGAAGCTGATTTTAGAAGGACTCTCTTGAGTCCTTTCTTTAGAAAAATGACATCGTGGTTCTGCTGTTAATACAATATACAATTTGAGTTGTTTTTATCTTCTTATAATGATGTGTTTATTCTGATCATGTAGACTTCCATATGCAGTAATCTTTTAAGATCAGGCATTTGTGAGATGGCTGTCCAGAGTGAAGAATGCAGTTCCTAGCCAAAGAGCAGCCTTTCCCTCTGTGAGGAGAACATATCCCCCAAGGCAGGAATGGAAACCAGAGTGACCTTGGCCTCATTAGTAGACTGCCTTAACCAGCTGAGCTAACCAGCCAGACTACAAAGATGGCAGGAAAGAAATCTAACAAACATAGACATTCACTTTGTAACATATAAAGTACAGTCTGTATTGACACACACAAACTGGCTTGACTGTTTTGACTGTCAAGTAGTCAAGAAAATATTTAAGTCAGTCAAAAAGCAGTCAAGTTGCCCAACAAGCATGTCTGACTTTCTTTTTTTCTCTGACTAGATTTTGAGTGCTGATTTGACTGGTTTGTGTTTGTAGAAACAGTCACATTTTCCTTGCCAAAAGAGAATGCTTTTTTTCACTGAGACTTAATGAAATAACTGTTACATCATATAAATTCATTTCCTTAAGCATATGTGTCAGACTATCAAATCAGTTAAGGAAAAGTCTCATCTTTTTTTCTCTTTGAAATTATGGATGGGCTAGTTTGGTTCCAAATTAAGTGAATTCATAGTGCCATCTAGTGCTTCAAAACAGAATTATCGGAGCAACTGTGGAGATACCTTAAATCAGGCATTGGCTTTAACACATTATCTTCAATTCTATGTTTAAAAGAGTCACCTAGCTGATCCAGGCTAGCATTTTCTTTTTTGGATTATTACAAGTTGATTGGGTATTGAAGTTTTATCACATTTACTGATGTGAGAAGTCATTGATTAAAGTATAGCTTGAAAAGAACCCCCAAAACATAACCAAAAACATATATCCCTTTTATTTTTAAGAGTATTAAGGATGAAACTAACCCACAAATAAAACCAAACGGTGCTTCATAAGATAGATGATGAAAATCACAACCATATATAAATTAAATCTCCTCCCACCCAAACAAGATGAAGTAAAACAGAGGATCGATGTGATTTTATTTCATGTGCTTTTGAAATATACGTTCTCAGAGAGGCTTTAGAACCGAGATACAAAGAGGAAAATGTTCACTGAAGAGAATAAACAACACATAGATGAGAGAATTGTTTCCACCTCAAGTAAACAAACAAACCTCTATTTTCCAAACAGTTTCTGCCTTGATTGCCGTCCATTCCTTTATAAAATGGTGGCAATATTTTCAGAACTTTATGTAAAATTTATGAGGGAAACAGGCATAGTTAAGACACTCTTGATTTGGAACCATTGCTGATCAAGGGACAAAATGTGACATATTTACATATTTTTCTTCAGAATTGAAATAGAATAATGTTTTCTATTTCTCTGCACATTAAAATTTTAAAAGCCCTTGCATGTGTTATTTCATCTCCCAACCACACTGTGCAGTATCATTAGCCTCATTTTAGAGTGGGTAGCCGAATTAGCATTCAAACCCTGTCTCATACCCTCCAATGCACTGACAAAGCTACATGTGCCTTTGCCTTTTTTTTTCCTTAGGGGTTTTTGAGAGCTTAGATCTGAAACAGTAAGAAGAGGAGTAGGGTTAGGAAGTGAGTGTAAGGGGAGGAAGAATTAAATGCATACATAGGGAGAGAGGGTCACTCACACTGCCTGCAAGAGAGGCAAGCAGGGAAAGCCTTATGCAAAGTTTCATACAGAGCGTCATCACCCATGGTGTCAGAGTTATCTAGAGAATGGGACAATAATTACGACTGTTGTAAACAATCCAGCCTTAATGAAATATCCTTAAATACAATATTCAGAAGTATCAAACACTAAATGAGAATTCCTAAAGAGTGGATGAAAATTCAGTACAGAGATCCATTAACGTATTGAGTAGCTTTATATCAATTGCTGCTAGTCATATGTAATCAATTTCTTTTTCCTACCCATTCTTGTTCATTTCAGATAATTCACTTTGGTTTTGATGTTACTAGAGATGCAAAGTTGTATTTTATAAATATTTTTCAGTTAAAAATTGTTTCATAGTATAGGTTTTAAAATGTGATAATAAAGCTTCATTTTGAATAGAGTTTTGCTTTAATCATTGTAGATCAGCCTTAATGTACTCAATTAAAAGTAGTTTTCTCATTATCATAAATGTTCTAATATGCATTTCCACCTATCCCTAATTGCCTATCCTAGGGGAAAGTCCTTTGCCATTGCAGCACTAAGTCACCGTAAATGAAAAAGCATGCTTAAATACTAAAATATTTATGATCTAGTCTACTTGCATTATCAACTCATCACAACTTATTGGTAAGCAATTGCAGTGCCTCTTGGCTAAAAAAGCAATGCCAGAAGTGGTAAGGCTCATGCTGACAGCTGTGTCTGGGCTGTTGCTAGCTACTTCAGTACTCTTTGCCCTTGGCAAAGAACTTAGCGAGAGAACAATAAAACATATTGTTGTAAAACAGTAAAAGGTACCCAGTTTGCCAGTTTGCATATTTCTCTGCAGCTACCCATGATACAGGTAGCTATGGGCAGAGCTTGCAGCTTTGCCAGACTTGCTGGCTTTGAACAAAAGTATTTTGTTTCAGGCCATTCTATTGGGTGGGTTCCTGTGGGTATTTTGAGGAAGACTAGGGAAAGAGGTGTTTGTGTGTTTGTGTGTGTGTGTGTGTGTTTTACTTTGTTTTTACTGTTTTTTAACAACAAATCATGAATTAATTTACCCCATACGAAACCTAAACAAAGGAAAAAAGCCTTTGGGAATCATCTTTGAAAAGAGCTGGCAGCCAGGAGAAAGAAAGAAGTTTGCTACAGCAGTTAGGAGAACATATTTGTTTGACTGAATTTATTTTTTATCATCCACTGTAAGCTTTCATTTGACTTAGCTGTTGTGCTTTGTGCCACAAAGCTAGGTCTGTCCATGTCATGGAGGCCCTCCTTCCTGGAATCTCAGTCCACCAGCACAGTATAAACTTCCATTTACAGTGAACGCGTGGAATACCTTGGCTGTGCTGGCAGAAAAAGGGAGCTGATGCCAAGTGAGCTGCAACCACAAAAAAATCATCCAGAAAAAATTTGCAACTCAGAATGAGCTAATAAAGAAATCTGTTTTTTGATGTTTCTGGAACAAAAGCATGAATTATTTTAAATTTTATTTTATTTTATTTATTTATTTATTTTTTGCTTTCCTGAAAATATCAGCCTTCTGTCTTGTCTAAACTTTTGCAGGGTATTACCAAAAACCATCTTTGGTATTGAACATGTTTAAACTTTATTATCCTCTTGTAAATCTGGCATCTGTGGGTAGATTCCAGAAATCAACCATCTCTGCATCATCTAGAGGACAGCACAGAGCCTTGCATGCAGTATCTGTGGATGGTCATTTGTTGAATGCATGAATTTACAAAACATACTAGCCATTTATAAAAAGATTTTTTGAAATTAAATTAAGGTGAAAACAGTAAAAGATAATGTTATATATTAAACAAGCATCTTCTAGAAGTGGCATAACATAGGTAAATATGTAATTTGTGCAAGTATCAGTGAAAGTACCCAACCAAGTTTCATACCTATGTATCTGTTCTCCCTTAATTATATTTTAGTTTTTCTGTGGGCCATCAAAAACAGCCAACTTTCTCTATTTTTAAAAAATATAATTTTAAAAAATTATTCTCTTTGTTACAAAATGAAAGTCCAATCTAAAAGCAGATAATGACTTTGAAAGGAAATAAAAATTAACATTGGTTTAAGTCTAACTATGTTCAAGGAACTTAATTTTGTGTGTGCTTGTATTGTCTATAAATTGGCATGCAATGATGAAACAGCAAATTCAAATTAATTAGTACATGGACTTCTTTAACTATAGCTGCTGTAAGTGTAGGAAACATTTGATTGTATAAAAAAGTAGATAATTGCAGGCTTGCTTTTTTTTCTTCTTGCCTCCCTCTCTCTTTTTTAAATAGAGATTTAAGAGAACAGAAGTTTTTCTCCTATCAAAATTCATGGCAGCATATAAAATCCTGCTCAAAATAGTCATGTGTGATGAGGTGATTCCCAGTGCATGTTTGGAAGGATGTTCCATCTTCTCAGGTACCATATTTGCACAGATCTATGTTGCTAAAGCTATGGAAATATCATAGTTGAAGAACGTTGATAATTGCAGACTGAAGAATTGACAGCACTCTGTAATTAACACATTCAGTTCAGGTAGGCATAGATACCCAGTTGAGAACAACCACCACAGGACGTTGTCTAGCATAAAATACATAGCAGAACTCATGTATGGATACACGCACATGTGCACACACACAAACAAATAAGCTACAAAAGAGGAGCTAGACAACCAAGACCAAAACATTTTTTTAGATGTATCTGGCTAAGGTTTTCATGTCATTGAGTAAGAACTGACATCTAAGAATAGTACTACAATACAGTTTATACCTAGACAGTTAAAATACAACTATTATTTGGTTGGCATGTGTTATGGACTTAATGTTTGTGTCTCCCCAGAGTTCATATGTTGAAATCCTGTCTACCAATGTGATGGTGTTTGGAGGTGAGGGCTTAGAGTTGGATTAGGCCATGAGGGTGGGACCGTCATGATGAGGTTAATGCTCTCAACGACATTATGCTAAGTGAGATAAGCCAGGCACAAAAAAGACAAATACTGCATGATCTCACTTATACGTGGAATCTAAAAAAATCAGTCTCAGAAACAGAGTAGAAAGTTGGTTGCTAGAGGCTAATTAAGTGGGGAGAGCAGAGAAGAGTGGGATGGGAAAAAAGGACATATTGGTTAAAGACTACAAAGTTTCAGTTCAGTTAGAATGAAGGAATACATTTTTGTGATCTATTGTACTATATAGTGACTATACTTAATAATAAGGTATTGTATATTTTTTAATTGATTATAAATAGATTTTAAACATTCTCACCACAATGTAAGGGATAAACTGGCTTGATTTAATCTTTCTACAATGTATACATGGATCAAAAGATAACATTGTATCCCATATACAATTATCATGTGTCAATTTGAAAATGATAAAAAAATTAGATGAAACAAACAAAAAAAAAAGAGGCATAGATCTCTCTCTCTCTCTCTGCCATGTAAGAATACAACAAGAAGGTGGCCATTTGTGAGCCAGGAAGAGCCCTCACCACACACTTGGTTTGCAGGTACCTTGATCTTGGATTTTCTAGCCTCCAAAACTGTGAGAAATAAATGTTTGCTGTTTAAGCCAACCAGTCTATGATAATTTGTTATAGAAGACCAAACTGACTGCTGCATATGAACCGATAGCATATGAACATATATTTAGGCTTACCGTTAATAAGCATTCTGTTGTGTGAATTAAGTTGCTCTATACAAAACTGCTTTAAAATTTCCAAATTTAGCAAACAACAAAAACTAATGCCCAGGTACACTTTTTAGAAAGTGCCCTGAACTCAATATCAGGATCCAACCGATAATTTCAGTAAAAACTGTTGCACTCCGAGTGGGAAAGCAAGTTAACCAGTGCTTATTGGTTGCTCCGTATGTGGCACTTTTTAACGCAGTTGTCTCTACATTGATCTATGCCATGCACATCTCCTGACTCTTTCTCCTTCTCTCTTCCCTATATTTGCACTGCCTTGCCTCAGGTTCTCTTCATCTTCCATTTGTTACAAAATAATGAAAATTACTATAATTTGGATGATCTCCAGTACTCTTCTGACATCAATTTTATACTTTATTCTCTCACATTCCCTCATAATATCCAGTATTTTTACTTATTGTGGAAACACTTCTTTCCTTCATCATACAAATATCATTCAGAGTCATCTTCTCATTATTTCTTCTACAGATGTTTAGCCTTCCAGTGAAGAGGAATGAATATAAGTTTCAGTGTTAGAAAGACATGAGTTTGAATGATATTTTTTTTTCTTACTGTGAGAACATTCCAGTTTTCTTTTCTGCAGAATGGGAATAATAATATCTACCTGACAGGCTAGTTTCAAAATGAAATTGGAAAGTGCGTTATGTAAAGTTCTTAGACTGGTGACAGGTAGAGAAAAAGTTCCAAGTAAGTGCTAGTTTCTTTTATAAATGTGCCTGATCTTTAAGATATTTTGTTGATGCTCTGTACAAATTAGTTATATAAATCACATTTATTATTTATTACTGAAACTCAATTATTGGTGAGAGAGGAGAAAATAAACAAGAGTATGGTTTGTCAATTATGATGGTGGTCATTCTTTCTTACAAAAACAAAAATAACCTTATGTTGTAGGCCAACTCTCTGATAAGAGAATTTGTGGAATATTCATCCTTGTAAATGAAGAATTTATCATGGGTAAAATAAGAGCTGAAATGTGCTAATTACCTTAATCTGATTATTATACATCATATAGTTCAAAACATCACAAAATATCTTAGGACTATCTACAATTATTACTTGTCAATTAAAAAAATAAAATTCGATTGTTTTTAGCCCACCTGAAAGCAGCTGCAGAAAGAGCCACTGTTTTTAAAACAGCTGAATTAAGTGATATAAACAGGAGGAGGCAGTGCAAGATGGCTGACTAGAAGCCTGCACCAATTGTCTTCCCCACAGGACTACCAAGCTGAACAACTATCCACACAAAAAAGCACCTTCATAAGAACCAAGAATCAACTCAGGTACTAGCTTGGCTACAGTGGGGTAGAGTGCATGGCAGGCTCTTCAGGTCCCTGATTCTAGGCCTTGGCTCTTGGATGGCATTTCTGGACCTGTCCTGGGCCAGAGGAGAACCACTGCTCGGAAAAGTGAGTCCCATGTCTGGCAGCATTCACAACAAGCTGACTGAAGAACCCTTGGACCTTGAATGAACATCGATGGTTTCCAGGCAGTACTCACCATGGGCTTGGGGCAGGGGTGGCCACAGAAAGAGATACCTCTGCTTGTGAAAAGGGAAAAGAAGGTTGCAACCGACTTTTTCCTGTGGCTTCGGTGCCAACTCAGCCTCAGTAGAATAGAGCACCAGGTAGATTTCTAAAGTTTCTGACTCCAGACCCTGGCTGCTGTACAGCATCTATGGACCTGCCTGGAACCAGGAGGAACTTGTCACCCTAAAGGGAAGAACACAAGCCTGGCTGGCTTCACTGCCTGCTGATTGTAGAGCCCTAGGGCTTTAAGCAAATGTGAGCAGTAGCCAGTCAGTAGTTGCTATGGACCTTGGATGAGATCCAGTACTTTGCTGACTTCTGGCCTGCCCAGTGCAGTTTCAGTGGCGATGGCCACAGGGGTGCTTGGTGAGCCATCCCCCAGCTCCAGGCAGCTCAGCACACAGAGGGAACTGATGTTTGGTGGGAGAAAGTAAGGGAAGAGAACAAGAGTCTCTGCCTGGTATTCCAGGTAATTCTCCCAGATCTTAGCCAAGACAACCAAGGCAGTACTTCAACAAGTCTTCAAGAGCCACAGTGTTTCTGGGTTTGGGATGCCCCCTAATGCAGATATGGCTGCAGAGACCAAAAACTTAGATCACAACACTCGAGTCCCTTCTAATACCTAGAAAGTCTTCCCAAAAAAGATGGGTACAAACGAGCCCAGATTGCAAAGACAAAAATAAATACCTAACCCTTCAATGCCCAGACATTGACAAACACCCACAAATATCAAGACTATCCAGGAAAACATGACCTCACCAAATGAACTAAATAAGGCACCATTGACCAATCCTGGAGAGACAAGGATATGTGACCTTTCAGACAGATAATTTAAAATAGTTGTTTTGAGGAAATTCAATGAATCTTAAGATAACAGACAAAGAATTCAGAATCTTACCAGAGAAATTTAACAAAGAAATTGAACTAATTAAAAAGAATCAGGCAGAAATTCTGAAGTTGAAAAATGCAACTGACATACTGAATAACACATCAGAATTGCTTAACAGCAGAATTGGCCAAGAAAAAGAAAGAATTAGTGAGCTTGAAGGTAGGCTATTTGAAAATGCACAGTCAGAAGTGACAAAAAGAAAAAGGAATAAAAAAGAATGAAGGCTGCCTACAAGATGTAGAAAATAGCCTCAAAAGGGCAAATCTAACAGTTATTGGCCATAAAGAGGAAGTGGAGAGATAGATTGGGGTAGAAAGTTTATTCGAAAGGATAATAACAGAGAACTTCCCAAACCTAGAGAAATATATCAATATTCAAATACAAGGTTTATAGAACATCAAACATATTTAACCTAAATAAGACTGTACCTCAAGACATTTAATAATCAAACTCCCAAACGTCAAGGATAAAGAAAGTATCCCAACAGTAGCAATAGAAAAGAAACAAATAACATACAATGGAGTGCCAACAAAATAAAATCAAAAGGAAATAAAGACTTAAATCTAAGACCTTAAACTAAGACCTCAAACTAAGAGTAAATCTAAGACCTCCACAATATTTAAATTTTAGAAAACATTGAGGAATCTCTCCAGGATACTGGTCTGGGCAAAGGTTTCTTGAGTAATACTCCACAAGAATAGGTTATCAAAGCCAGAATTCACAAATGGGATCACATCAAGTTAAAAAGCTTTTGCACTGCGAAGGAAACGATCAACTAAGTGAAGAAACAACCCACAGAATGGGAGAAAATATTTACAGTCTATCCATCTGACAAGGAATTCTTTTACTTACTATTACACTTTAAGTTCTGGGGTACATGTGCAGAATGTGCAGTTTTGTTACATAGGTATACACGTGCCATGGTGGTTTGCTACACCCATCAACCCGTTACCTACATTAGGTTTTTCTCCTAATGCTATTCCTCCCCTGGCCCCCCACCTCCTGACAGGCCCCAGTGTGTGATGTTCCCCTCCTGTGTCCATGTGTTCTCATTGTTCAACTCCCATTTATGAATGAGAACATGCGGTGTTTGGTTTTCTGTTCTTGTGATAGTTTGCTGAGAATGATGGTTTCCAGCTTTATCCATGTCCCTGCAAAGGACAAGAACTCATCCTTTCTTATGGCTGTGTAGTATTCCATGGTGTATATGTGCCACATTTTCTTCCAGTCTATTATTGGTGGACATTTGTGTTGGTTTTAAGTCTTTGCTATTGTGAATAGTGCCGCAATAAACATACGTGTGCAGTGTGCATGTGTCTTCATACTAGAATGATTCATAATCCTTTGGGTATATACCCAGTAATGGGATTGCTGTGTCAAGTGGTATTTCTACCTCTAGATAATTGAGGAATCACCACACTGTCTTCCACAATGGTTGAACTAATTTACACTCCCACCAACAGTGTAAAAGTGTTCCTATTTCTCCACATCCTCTCCAGGAAAAAAGTCATTGTTTCCTGACTTTTTAATGATCGGCATTCTAACTGGTGTGAGATGGTATATCACTGTGGTTTTGATTTGCATTTCTCTAATGACAAGTGATGATGAGCATTTGTTCATGTGTCTGTTGGCTGCATAAATGTCTTCTTTTGAGAAGTGTCTGTTCATAACCTTTGCCCACTTTTTGATGGGGTTGTTTTTTTCTTGTAAATTTGTTTAAGTTCTTTGTAGACTCTGGATATTAGCCCTTTGTCAGATGGATAGATTGCAAAAATTTTCTCCCATTCTGTAGGTTGTCTGTTCACTCTGATGGTAGTTTCTTTTGCTGTGCAGAAGCTCTTTAGTTTAATTAGATCCCATTTGTCAATTTTGGCTTTTGTTGCCATTGCTTTTGGTGTTTTAGACATGAAGTCTTCGCCCATGCCTATGTCCTGAATGGTACTGCCTAGGTTTTTCTTCTAGGATTTTTATGGTTTTAGGTCTTAGGTTTAAGTCTTTAATCCATCTTAAGTTGATTTTTTGTATAAGGTGTAAGGAAGGGGTCCAGTTTCAGTTTTCTGCATATGGCTAGCCAGTTTTCCTAACACTATTTATTAAATAGGGAATGTTTTCCCCATTGCCTGCTTGTGTCAGGTTTGTCAAAGATCAGATGGTTGTAGATGTGTGGTGTTATTTCTGAGGCCTCTATTCTGTTCCATTGGTCTGTATCTCTGTTTTGTTACCAGTACCATGCTGTTTTGGTTACTGTAGCCTTGTAGTATAGTTTGAAGTCAGGTAGTGTGATGCCACCAGCTTTGTTCTTTTTGCTTAGGATTGTCTTGACTATGTGGGCTCTTTTTTGGTTACATACAAAGTTTAAAGTAGTTTTTTCCAATTCTGTGAAGAAAGTCAATGGTAGCTTGATGGGGATAGCATTGAATCTATAAATTACTTTGGGCAGTATGGCCATTTTCACAATATTGATTCTTCCTATCCATGAACATGGGTTGTTTTTCTATTTGTTTGTATCCTATCTTATTTCCTTGAGCAGTGGTTTGTAGTTCTCCTTGAAGAGTTCCTTCACATCCCTTGTAAGTTGTATTCCTAGGTATTTTATTCTCTTAGTAGCAATTGTGAATGGGAGTTCACTCATGATTTGGCTCTCTGTTTGTCTGTTATTGGTGTATAGGAATGCTTGTGATTTTTGCACACTGATTTTATATCCTGAGACTTTGCTGAAGTTGGTTATCAGCTTAAGGAGATGTTGGGCTGAGATGATGGGGTTTTCTAAAGATACAATCATGTCATCTGCAAACAGAGACAATTTGCCTTCCTCTCTCCCTATTTGAATACCCTTCATTTCTTCCTTTTGCCTGATTGTCCTGGACAGAACTTCCAATACTATATTGAACAGGAGTGGTGAGAGAGGGCATTCTTGTCTTGTGCTGGTTTATAAAGGGAATGCTTCCGGTTTTTGCCCATTCAGTATGATATTGACTGTGGGTTTGTCATAAATAGCTCTTATTATTTTGAGATATGTTCCATTGATACCTAGTTTATTGAGAGTTTTTAGCATGAAGGGTTGTTGAATTTTGTTGAAAGGTTTTCTGCCTCTCTTGAGATAATTATGTGGTTTTTGTCATTGGTTTTGTTTATATAATGTTTACGTTTATTGGTTTGTGTTTGTTGAAGCAGCCTTGCATGCCAGGGATGAAGCTGACTTGATCGTGGTGGATAAGCTTTTTGATGTGCTGCTGGGATTCAATTTGCCTGTATTTTATTAAGGATTTTTGCATCAGTGTTCTTCAGGGATATTGGCCTGAAATTTTCTTTTTTTGTTGTGTCCTGCCAGGTTTTGGTATTAGGATGATGCTGGCCTCATGAAATGAGTTAGGGAGGATTCCCTCCTTTTCTTTTGATTGGAATAGTTTCAGAAGGAATGGTACCAGCTCCTCTTTGTACCTCTGGTAGAATTTGGCTGTGAATCCATCTGGTCCTGGATTTTTTTGGTTGGTAAGCTATTAATTGCTGCCAATTCAGAACTTGTTATTGGTCTATTCAGGGATTTGACTTCTTTCTAGTTTAGTCTTGGGAGGGTGTATATGTCCAGGAATTTATCCATTTATTGTAGATTTAGGTGTTTATAGTATTCTCTGATGGTAGTTTGTATTTCTGCGAGATCGGTGGTGATAACCCCTTTAGCATTTTTTGTTGCATCTATTTGATTCTTCTCTCTTTTCTTCTTTATTAGTCTGGCTAGAGGTCTATTTTGTTGATCTTTTCAAAAAGCCAGTTCCTGGATTCATTGATTTTTTTTGAAGGGTTTTAAGTGTCTTTGTCTCCTTTAGTTCTGCTCTGTTCTTATTTATTTCTTGTCTTCTGCTGGCTTTTGAATTTGTTTGCCGTTGCTTCTCTAGTTCTTTTAATTGTGATGTTAGGGTGTCAATTTCAGATCTTCCCTGCTTTCTCTTGTGGGCATTCAGTGCTATAAATTTCCATCTACACACCTGCTTTAAATGTGTCCCAGAGATTCTGGTATGTTGTGTCTTTGTTCTCATTAGTTTCAAAGAACATCTTTATTTCTGCCTTCATTTCATTATTTACCCAGTGGTCATTCAGGAGCAGGTTGTTCAGTTTCCATGTAGTTGTGCAGTTTTGAGTGAGTTTCTTAATCCTGAGTTCTAGTTTGATTACACTGTGGTCTGAGAGACTGTTTGTTATAATTTCTGTGTTTTTTTTTGTTTTTTTTTTTATTTTTATTTTTTTTTGCATTTTCTGAGGAGTGTTTTACCTTCAATTATGTGGTCAATTTTAGAATAAGTGTGATTTGGTGCTGAGAAGAATGTATATTCTGTTCATTTGGGGTGGAGAATTCTGTAGATGTCTATTAGGTCTGCTTGGTCCAGAACTGAGTTCACGTCCTGAATATCCTTGTTAATTTTCTGTCTGATTGATCTGTCTAATATTGACAATGGGGTGTTAAAGTCTCCCACTATTATTGTATGGGAGTCTAAGTCTCTTTGTAGGTTTCTAAGAACTTGCTTTATGAATCTGGGTGCTCCTGTGTTGGGTGCATATTTATTTAGGATAGTTAGCTCTTCTTGTTGCATTGATCCCTTTACCATTATGTAATGCCCTTCTTTGTCTCTTTTGATCTTTGTTAGTTTAAAGTTTGTTTTTTCAGAGATTAGGATTGCAACTCTTGCTTTTTTTTGCTTTCCATTTGCTTGGTAAATATTCCTCCATCCTGACAAGGGATTCTTACCTGGAATATACAAGGAGCTCAAACAAGTCTACAGGAAAAAAATCAAATAATCTTATTAAATAATGGGCAAAAAATCATAATAAACACATCTCAAAAGAAAACATTCAAACAGAAAACAGGCATATGGAAAAGAGCTCAACATTACTGATCATCAGAGAAATGAAAATCAAAAGTACAATGAGATATCATTTCATCCCAGTAAAAATGGCTTTTATCAAAAGGATAAGCAATAATGAATAATGGGGCTGACGTGGAGAAAAGGGAACCCTCATACATTGTTGGTGGAATGTAAATTAGTACAACCACTATGGAGAACTGTATGGAGTTTCTTCAAAAATCTGAAGATAGAACTATTACATGTTCTAGCAATTCCACTACTGGATATTTATCCAAAGGAAATAAATCAGTATGTGGAAGAGATATCTGCACTCCCATGTTTATTGCAGCACCATTCGCACTAGCCAAGATTTGGAAGCAACCTACATGTTCATTGACAGAAACGTGGATAAAGTGGATAAAGAAAATGTGGTACATATACACAAGGGAGTACTTATTCAGCCATAAAAAGAATGAGATCCTGTCATTTGCAACAACATGGTTGGAACTGGAGGACATTATGTTAAGTGAAATAAGCTAGGCACAGAAAGACAAATTTTGCATGTTCTCAGTCATTTATGGGAGTAAATTTTAAAATAATTGAACTCATGCATATAGAGAGTAGAAAGAAGGTGATCAGAGGCTGGGAAGGGTAGTGGTTGGGGGTGGGAAGTGGGGGTGATTAACAGGTACAAAAATATAGTTAAATAGGATGAATAAACTTTAGTATTTGATAACACAACAGGGTGACTACAGTCAACAGTAAACCAACGTGCATTTTAAAATATAGAGCATAATTGGAATGTTTGTAACAAAGAGAAAGGATAAATGCTTGAGATGATGGATACTCCATTTACCCTGATGTGATTATTATGCATTGTATTCCTGTATCAAAATATGTCAGTTACCCCTTAAATATGTATGACTACTATGTATGCACAGAAATTTTTTACAAAATTAAATTTTAAAAAAGAACTCAAGCCAAGTAAACAGATTCAAGGAAACTTTAGTGAATTATTAGCTCTATGTAAGAGGACAATAGTCTAGTCTCTAAAATACCTTGTGAATTGAATGTAGAACAGAGAGTGGGTATTTTGAAAATAAGATATCATTAGGTCACTTTTTTGATAACTTTTATTTTAACTTTGGGGGTACATGTACAGGTTTGTTACATAGGTAAACTTGTGTCATGTGGGGTTGTTGTCCAGATTATTTAATCACTCAGGTATTAAGCCTAGTTCCCATTAGTTATTTTTCTTGATTCTTTTCCTTCTCCCACCCTCCACTCTCGGATAGGCTCCAGTGTGTGTTGTTCCCCTCTATGTGCCTATGTATTCTTATCATTTAGCTCCCACCTATAAGTGAGAACATGCAGTATTTGGCTTTCTGTTCTGACATTAGTTTGCTAAGAATAATGGCCTCCAGCTCCATTCATGTCCCTGCAAAAGACATGATCTTATTCTTTTTTATGGCAGCATAGTATTCCATACTACAGTATAACCTGTATGGAAGGACCATGAACCTAAAAATAATCATTTTATAAGTATAATCTGTAAGTTCACTCGCTAACTGTTCTTATCTCTGCACATTCAGGGCTGAAGTTAGAGTGATCATGAAAGATTTAAAGTTGTGATCTGGCGATTGCTTGAGTACTGGTCCTCGCTATCCCTGTTTCATGTAGTGTAACCTGGGTGAGTTGATTAACCTTTTTGTGCCTTGATTCCCTAATCTACAAAATAAGAATATCAATGATTTCTACTTCAAAGATCGTGGTGAAGATTAAATTAGATATCAATTAAAGTGTTTACACAGTGCCTGTCATATGGCAAGAGCTCAGTAAATATTAGCCAAAATAAATACCATAAATTCTGGTTAATGAATGTTATTAGAAGAAGAATCAACTATGAAAAAAACATACTTAGGGTTTAGAGTTAAAACCAAATAAAGTTTACTGGAGGTCTATGAATGCTTTTAATAATACTCATGCTTGTTTCTATAGGGCCTATGGGTAAGTGCCTGATATAAATGACACAGTCATGTTGATATGACCAAATTAAATACCTTTAGCTTTTCTTTTTTGGTCTCTGAAGCTTTTCCAACATCTTAACTCACTATCATGTGTAGTTTTTTTCATAATACAGTTCAATACTTTTTATAAACATACATGCAAATTAAGACAACAGCCTCAATGTGTTCCCAGCAGCCAATTTTCTTTTCCTTTCATTGTATTCATTGCATTTAAGACAGTAACCTGCTGAAATGGGTGCATACAAAGTATATTAGCCAATAACCATCTCTTCTCTGAAGGAGGGAGGTTAAAAGCAAGAAAAACTATTCCAAGGTAGGAATGTTGAGTTTTATTGCCACTACTTTGATTAACTTGGACTCTTGTAGAAAGAGTAGCTCTTGTAGTGAAGCAATTATTCCCCCTGATGGAAGGTGCTCATAAGTACCTCCCTAAGCAAAGTGGCACCTGTCCCGTGGAATGCCCCATACTAAGAAGAATACCAAAAGTGGAATCCAGACAACTGGGCTGTAGTTAAGCTTCTTTGCATGTGATCTCTGTAAGGAAGTGTTTCTCCACCTGTAAGATAGCATAAAAATTACTATATATCAGGGTTATCTGTGTCATCTAAAGACATATAAGTAAAATACTTGGTAAATTATAAATAATTATACAAATAGAAGGGATTAAATTATTGCAAATTTTTATTTTTACATAATGTTCACATTCCTTCTTTTTGTGACAAAACCTTGGTGTTGTAAAGCAAACAGGGAGAGCACTTTGGTAGGAGCAAGGTAAAGAGATGCTTGTTTGTCTAAGTGCCTTGCCATGTTTCACTTGGCTTCTGTCCTCCTTAGTGACAGAAACAATTTTTGGATAGGTAGTAAGTGGGTACCCTAAGGAAGCTGGCTGGGCATATGGCCAGATAAGTTTCAGCTGTGGAATGAAGCAAGTACATGGCTACTCAGTATATGTCTTTCATTTATTCACCCATTCACCTGCTTACTCACTCATCTATTCATTGATTTATTTATCTAGACATCATTCATCAAATATTTATTAAATACTAGCCCAGATGCTCGGGATCAGAGTGCTGACATATAAGATGGTTGTAATACATTGCTGAATTTGGGATTAAAAAATAGATCTAGTCTTTGCCCACTTTTTCACCATTCTCTCTCCCACCCCCTACCTACCCACCGCTGTCCCTGTCTCTCTCTGTTACAGCCATACACATCCTATTTCTATCACTTAATCATAGCACTCTTGTTCCTGACTGAGGAACTTTGCACTTCCTCTTACCCAGGTTTTCACCTGCTGAATCATTCCACCACTTAGGCTGTAGATCCAGACTCCCCTCTTTGGAGGCTTCTTTCCTTATTGCTCTAGCTAAAGTAGCACCTTCCAACCTCTTACCTATACTTTTCTATTTCCTAGCCTTCGTAGTTCTTATCACTAGCTGAAATTACATACATTTGTTCAGCTTCCCTCAACTAGAACATAAGCTTCAGGAGCTCAGGGATGAAGTTATCACCAGTGCCCCGAGCAGCACCTGGCTCAGTTCTTCACATGCTTACCTGGCATATAAGCTCAAAAATATTTATTAAAAGGATAAATGAAAAGGGAAGATGAAAAATGATAGACATTCTGTGTCCATCATCCTTCCACAAAACACTACTTATATTACAGATAAATATTATACTGTCCTTCTCAGGAAATTTCAGAAGGCAAGAAAGCTATATTCATGGGATTTTAAAGGATAAGAAAGCTGCATTTTTTCACCAGTTCATGTAGCTACATCTTAGCTGTATTTTGGGTAAGTGTAAGTGACATCTAAAGTCTACTAGCACGTATTTTTAAATAGTGGACATAGACACTTGTCTCCCACCTACCTCCTGACCAGGATAGTTTAAATGCTCCTTATCTGTTCTGTCACACTGGGAATATCTCTAGGGCTATACTTTCTATATGTACTACTTAGTGATTGCTTTTACTGCTGGATCCACCCTAGACACTAAGCTCTCTTTCTTATATACTTTGCTTTCCTAGAATCAAACATGGGCCCTGTACAAAGCAGATAAAGGGCAATTGTTTCTTGACCATTCCTTTGCGCAATAGAAAGAGGAACTTTTATGTATTAGAGATTGTGGTAGTTGCAGAGAATAAAACTGTAAAGAAGATGGGCATGGTTCCTGCACTTATAGGGTAAATAAAGCACATGGGTAAACACAGGCTAAATATTTTTAGTAGTTACACCATTAACAACAATATGGATAGAGCTATTGTTCATGTCCAACTGTCAGATAACAACAAATAGATTGGCAAAGGAGCTGTAAGTGGATGAGAAGGGCCTTTATTTGATTCCAGCAGTTTGTGTCAGGCTAGATGATACATTTATTTCTAAATTGATTTTGACTAGCCATAAGCATCAAAATTCTCATTAGGAATTTGAAGTCATAATGTGATGCCTCTTACAACTAACTGTGTCACTTCTATGTATTCTTATTGGAAAATTATTCTCTTTGAATATTAAAATTGACATTACTACCTTTTGAAATATTAAAAGGATCTAAATATTTCTAGTGAAAGATTTGACATATAGAAAAAATTCTGCCAGAAACAAAAATCAAGCCTATAGTGTAATTTGAGATTTCCTTAAAGCCCTCCCTGACCCTTATATATCTTTTCCATATTTGACAAAGAGCAGATTCTTTCTACTATTAGCCTGAATTCAACACAAGTCTTTCATTGCACATGAAAGCTTAGATTCAATCATCCATTAATTTATCCAACAAGTATTTTTTGAGAACCTACTATGTGCCTGGCACTGTTTTATACTTTGAGAATAACAGTAATAGTGGAGATGAAATCAGGCAGTGCAAATAAGCAGAGATGTGACTGAGATAATTTTACATAATGAAATAATATTTAAAAAGATGGTGGTTAGGGATAGGAGATACATTAGATGGGGTGGTCAAAAAAGATCTCCCTGGCATGTTGATTCTGGAAAAGAATAGCCCGTATGATTTAACAATGAGGGAAAATAGGAGATAAATCAGCATGTAGATGATATAAAAATAGAGCCACAGATGATAGTACATTTACCATGAGAAAAAGTCAGCATAGATTTCTATAAGTGAATCTTGGACACCATTGACAAGGAAGAATGGAATTTCCCCAAATATAAACTAACAAGTTGGCATAGAATTCTGCATGTGACAGTGTCCTATAAGTGTTATACTAATTATCATTAATATTTCAATGTCATATTTACTGGAATTTTGCAGTAATGAAGTTTGGGTCTTGTAATCACAGCCAATGTTAGCATTTCTTAAGGAAATCCATATGACTTGAATTATCTTTACTACTGTAAAATGAAGGACAATAAAAGTCATAAAGCAAAAGCAACTGTAATACTAACTAAATAATATGACTGTCATCTTGTGTAAAAGGAAGTTGCTTGACTTTGTGTAAATAAGAATTACTGAACTGGTACTGAAACATAAAAAGCCAAAGTCTACTACCTAATAGTTTCACCAAGAAGATAAGAGAAAACTCACGATTTAGGAAATGTAAGGTGAATTGTACCTACAAAGTGAAAAGATATTAATACAGATTAATCTTACAAGATTAATCAACTATAAATTAGATCATTAGAACTTTAAAATTTAATTGGATTCATTACTTTCTAGTAATGGTATGAAATTTAATTATAAGACACACTACAAAATTTCTTGAAAAATTAAATTAGGACGTGGAAAAGTTTACTGCAGTTTGTCTGTGGGCAGTTCAGCTCCTGGAACATTGCACTTGAAAGAATATGGATTTTGAAAAGCACAAAAAAAAAAGGAGAGGTCAACTACACTATAAACTGTAGGTAGACAGAGATCCTACCTCTTATTTCATTTAAAATCCATGTGCCCCATATTAAGCACATGTCTAATAGGCCAAGAAATCAGTCTCCCACAAAATGTTTATTTGCCCCATTTTATAGGCAAGGCACTATGATACATACCAGATATTGAAGTTGGCTTTCATCTTACTACCTAATTGGAGGACAGAACACACACACACACACACACACACCCACACACACCCACCTTGTGATGTAATACTGTATAATGTAATAAGGCACCAGCAAAACTCCAGCAAATGTATAGTTATCCCACTTGATTTATTTAGACATGGATTCATATTGTCAAGGCACCATTCTTTAAAAAGTATTCCTTTGCAGATTTTCCTATTCTGTGGACTAGATTCTTGACTAAAATTATACATGAGTTGTAAAATACATGATGAGGCCCACATATTTCAGGGACTGATCTTTTAATGGAGTGATGAATGTAAAGACAATCAAATGGAGCTGGGAAGATTGGATATCAGTATGCACAACAATGAAACTAGATCCCTATCTTTCACCATCTACAAAAATCGACTCAAAATCGATTAATGACATAAATGTAAGTACTGAAATGATAAAAGTACTGGAAAAAATGCTGAAAAACACTCCAAGATATTAGTCTAGATAAAGATTCTACAGCTAAGACTTCCAAAACATATGCAACAAAAATAGACAAAAGAGACTATATTAAACTAAAAATCTTCTGCACAGCAAAGGAAACAATCAACAGAGTGAAGAGACAACTTGTTTAATGGGAAAAATATTTGCAAACTATCCATCCATCAAGGTATTAATATCTAGAATATACAAGGAACTCAAATAACTCAACAGCAGAAAACCAAATAACCAAATGATTAAAATGTGGACAAAGCATCTGAATACACATTTCTCAAAAGAAGACATACAAATAACCAACAAATATATGGAAAAATGCTCAACATCACTAATCATCAGAGAGTGCAAATCAAAACCACAGTGAGATACTATCTTACCCCAGTTAGGATGGCTATTACAAAAATAACAAAACAAATAACAAATGCTGGAAAAGATGTAGAGAAAAGAGAACATTTATGCACTGTTGGTGAGAATGTAGATTAGTAGAGCATTTACGGAAAATAGTGTATGGGTTTCTCAAACTAAAAATAGAACTACCATATAATCCAGACATTCCACCACTGGGTATTTTTCCAAAGGAAAGGAAGTCAGTATATTAAAGGGATACCTGCATCCCTGTGTTTATTGCAGCACTACTCACAATAGCTAAGATATGAAATCAACCTAAAAGTCCATCAACAGATGAGTGAATAAATAAAATGTTATACACAATGGAATACTTTTCAACCATAAAAAGAATGAAATCTTGTCATTCACGGCAACATGAATACATCTGGAGGACATTATGTTAAGCAAAATATGTCAGGCACAGACAGATAAACACTATATATTCTCACTCACATGTAGGAACTAAAAACAAATTGAGCTTATGGAAACAGTAGAATTGTGGGTAATAGTGGATGTGAAGGAGAGAGAAAGGGGAGGATGAGGAAAAGTTGATTAACAGATACAAAATTATAGTTAGATAGGAGGAATGAGCTCCAGTATTCTGCAGGACTGTAGGGTGAAAGAATATGATCAATGATGAGTTAATGTATATTTTCAAAAGGCTAGAAGAGAGGATTTTGAATGTTTACAACACAAAGAAATGATACATGTTTGAAGTGATTGATATGCTTACTCTGATTTGATCATTGCACATTGCACACACATATTGAAATACCACTCTGTATCCCATAAATATGCACCATTATTAGATGTTAACTGAAAATAAAAGAAAAAATAAGGACATGTTTATATAATAAGTTAAAAATCCTTTTTATAACCATCAAAAAAAGATTAGTTTAGAATCCCACATTGTGAAATTAAATTTGTGCAGTTTACCAAACAACTAACATATACAAAAAAACAATAAATGCATGCTATGTGATCCTTATGTTGACAGTATCTCTTCACTTAAAAACTGCTGAAACTCTTAGCTAGCTCTGGTCAAGGGACATTTTCTCCACATTATTAAATCACTTTCTTTTAGATCTGTGATTCTGATTATTATTCTGCAGTATTGCACTTTCTGTGCTCTGTGTATCATACCACAACGTAATGTTTTAGACCATGGACAGTAGAGTTACACATCCTACCCTTGACTATGGCTCTACCCTCACTTTATAGTTGTGTGACCATAGGTAAGTTGCTAAGCCTCTCCAGGCTTCCGTTTATTTTCTGTATGATGTAGATGACTATAGTACTATAGTGAGCTGAATGGTAACCTCCAAAGAGTATTCCCTTGTTGTAATTTCTGGAACCTATGAATGTGATCTTATTTGGTTACAGGGTCTTTGTAATGTAATTAAATTGAGGATCTCGAGGTAAAATCCTCCCAGATTCTCTAGGTGGATACCAAATTCAATGACAAATGTCTTTATAAGAAGCGGAAGAGAAGAATATGTGGACAGGAGAGGGGAGTTGATGTGAAGTCAAGAGGCAGAGGTAGGAGTCACGTGGCCACAAACCCAGGACACCATGGAATCCCAACAACTGCCGGAAGCTGGAAAAGGCAAGGAGGGTTCTGCCATAGAGCCTCCAGCCCTGCTGGAATCCTGATTTCTGACTACTGGTCTCCAGAACTGTGAGAAAATAAACCCAATCTATGGGAATTTGTTACAGCAGCCATAGGAAACCGATTACAAGTATTCACATTAGAAATCTGTTGTGAGGATGTAAATCAATTGGTACGATGCCTGGCATTGAGTAAGCACTCAATAAAGTTTAGCTGTTATTGGTACTGGAATGATTGTCTTTTGTAGTGATGTCTGTTGGTTTTGTGCCTGGTATTGTTTCATCCAACTTCTATAATATCACATTGATTTACCTTTGGGCAAACTAATGATTTTTTAAAACTTAAATGACACACATGCATACAAAATGATTGGTACCAATTCATCTAGAAGTACTAAAGTGATTCTACATTTTCTCCTGCCATCAGACTCAGATGTGTCCCATTTCTTGGCCTTTGTTCCGTGTGGTAGAGTGTACGATAGCCTTTTTTCCTCTTAAGTTATACCAAATACTTATTCATCGACACATACTAGGAGCTATAAAATAATAACTACTCATATTATCTCCAGTCTTAATCTCCAGCTAATTTTCAGGCTACATTTCCTCATTGCTTATTGTATTATTGCTACTTGATTGTTTTCAGGTGATTTCACTTCAGCATGATTAAAAGAAAACTGTTTCTATTCTTCAAAAGCTCTTTTTTAGACCCCTCCTTCTATGATAATTTTCTTTTTTAATCAGACTCCAAGTCTTAGTCATCTTTAACTTATTTCTATCTGTCATAACTAATAACCTATTAATGCCATGTACTATTATTCAACATTTCTTAATGTCTTTTTATTGCTCAATACTCAGCCTTGTTTTGATTTATGATGTTTCAGACTGAGATTACTGAGATAAATATTTAGCTGGATGCAAGATTTTTTCAACACCCTTTATTTAGAATTCAAGCTTCTAAAGATAAACTTTCTTAAATATTGTTCAAAATGTATATTTTCCTACTAAAAATTACAGTTCTACTTATTTAATCTAACAATAGGAAATTACAAAATAATTGATCCAGTAGTCATATAGTGAAATACTCATAGTGATTAACAATGTGTTGATGTGCTAAATAAGAAAACAGGATATAAAACTGTAGAAAATATGACATCAATTTTGTTAAATACAAGTACTCACACTAAAGCTGATGAAATGTGTTCATATGAAAACAGCAATCATATTTAAGTGGTGATATTGGAAGTAATTTTATTTTCCTTTTATATGTTATTTTCTTCTGATTTTTCTTCAATGGGTAGGTAAATCTTTTAAAATTAGATACAGTAAATGTTCTATGTTTAAAATATATATGTAGTGGCTCCTCATGCTCTGTAATAAAATTTGTGTCTCCTTGGCTATTCTTCAAGACCTGCAATCTAGCCCAGCTGACCTTATTTCCCACTCTATCCAAGCACAAATCTCTGTGCTTTAGTCATAGCTGCACTGACCCATAGGTACCCTATGGCCATTCCTGGCCTTGTGCATTCATCGTGTTCCGTTCAATGTGGTCTACCTTGCATCCAAATTCCACCCATCTCTTAAGGCCCAGAGATACTCTGTCCAAGATACCATGTCCGTTCATAGTGAGACAGCTGTATTTGTTCTCTCTTTTCCATTAAACATCTTTGTGTCTTCTTCAGTATTAAATAACTTAGCTCTGAATTCTATCCTGCCTCAATGCCATAAACTACCATTTTGCAAATCATAACACTTTAAGAATAATGTGGCTCAGTGCAGTGGCTCACACCTGTAATCCCAGCACTTTGGGAGGCCAAGGTGGGCAGATCACTTGAGGCCAAGAGTTTGAGACCAGCCTGTCCAACATGGCAAAACCCTGTCTCTACTAAAAATACAAAAATTAGCCAGGCAAGGTGGCACATGCCTGTAATTCCACTTACTTGGGAGGCTGAGGCAGGAGAATCGCTTGAACCCAGGAGGTGGAGGTTACAGGGACCAGAGATCACGCCACTGCACTCCAGCCTGGGCAACAGAGTAAGACTGTCTCCAAATAATGATAATAATAATAATAATAATAATAATAATAATAATAATAATAATGCATACTTCCTGAGAGTGGGCACCATGTAGTCCTTATGGTCTCCCTAGATGAATTCTAAGGACATCAGAGATGTCTCAAAGAAATATTTAAGCTGTAAATAAGAGAAACCAAACTCAAGCCAGTTTTTTTTAAAAGGGGCATTGTGGCTCAAATAAATGGAAATCTAGTGGTAGGGCAAGGCTCAAAGTGGCTTTGGCCTGTTTCTCTGAGGATCTCTAGGTTTTACTCTCTTTTCTGTGCTTTATTCTCAGGCGCTCTTGCCTCACAGTAGCAAAGTGCTTGCAGTGATTTTAGGGATTATGTCCGCTCAACATACACTGTTCAAAAAATCCCAAGATTCACTCTGATGGGAGAGGATTAGGCCACATGACTATCTTATACCAGTATCTGTGGCCAAGGATTGAAGGCACTGGTTGGCTGTCTTGGGTACGTTTCTTCATACCTGAAGTTGGGTCTGTAAGGACTTCTCTCAACCACATAAATTTCTTACAAAAAGAAGGGGTTTGCAGGGAGGGAGAGGGGATGTTAGGGAGACATGAGGTGCCTATGCTTATAGAAATTCTTTGATACTAGCTGTTTGAATGACCTGATTCCTGCAAAATTGGTTAATGCCATCAGTTAATCCGTACTTCCAGCCATGAAATACAACCAAAATGTTTCAGTTACATTACTAAAGGAAAGCTTAAATGACTGAAATGTTTGATATATCAAAGAAGTATCTAATATATTTTCAGAACATTTCCTTCAACAGGTGTTTCAGAATGAGACTGACTATACCTAAACATCCATTTGTTAAGCCAATTAACTGCTTTCAGATCACTTCATTGACACATTGCGTATTAAATTATGATGATTTGTAAGCTTTTATTAACTGTAACCTGACATGTATTAAGAAGCAATCTTGTGCTCAAAACTTTTCCAAAATGATAATCTGCCAGAATTCTATCTTAAAGATTTAATACTTTTTATTTTAAAAAGGTATCACAGAAATACAAGTAAAAATAATTATCAAAATTATAGTACAAGTTAGAAAACATAGTTTACATTTTAATGTTTTAATTTTACCAATTTTAGTATTTTCAAATTCCTGTGCTGGTATTTTCTATAAGCTTTAATAGTTGTTGCCATGTTCAAAGAAAGTATTATTAGGCTGGGCATGGCATGGTGGCTCATGCCTATAATCCCAACATTTTGAGAGGCCAAGGTGGGTGGATCACCCGAGGTCAGGAGTCCGAGACCAATCTGGCTAACATGACGAAACCCTCTCTCTACTACAAATAACAAAAATTAGCTGGACATGGTGGCAGGTGCCTGTAATCCCAGCTACTCGGGAGGCTGAGGCAGGAGAATCGCTTGAACCCAGGAAGCAGGGGTTGCAGTGAGCTGAGATTACACTACTGCACTCCAGCCTGGGTGACAGGGTGAGACTCCATCAAAAACAATAACAACAACAACAAGAAGAAAGTATTATTAAATTATAAACAAGAATACTCTTCTTGTTGAATTTCTGTTTTCTAATATATAGTCTCTTTAAAATATTATCCTACTATATTATTACAGAATAATGTTGTATTTTGGGGTGAAATTTGCATCTTTGCAAGCCACCATACTGTCAAGAAACATTTTGGAGTGAAATATAAAACCTATGAATTTTTACTCTAAAATGAGCTCATCAGAAATGTTGTTTCTCAGAAACAATAAAGAGCCCTGTTAACTGAAAAAAACTAAACTCTGTCTTTCAACTTCTGTGCTGCTATCTGTCCTCCTCTTCTCCTTCCCTGCCCTTGTCCTGCACTAGAACTACACTAGAGACTCTTATTTGATCAGTCACAATTCTTGGTTCAAATCTTCCTTATTTTTTATACTAGCCAAGTCCTGAGAGATATGGGTAGATGCCAAATGAAAAGAAGAGGCTGTAGACAGTGCAGCTCCACTGCTTGGCAGGCAGGAGACCCCATGAGTATATACCAGTCCCAAAAACATGGCAAGACAATTGTTCAGTTCTTATTCTGGATCGTAGAGACAATTTGGCCAACCAGTTCCTCTTTTAGATTTCAAAAGCCCTCAAGATTGATTAAATCCAACTTATACACAGCTATTATCATCTGTAACCCAGGAATGTAGAGGGAAATTCTGCAGTAGGAGTACAAGTCTGAGAATGTAGAGAAATTTTCATGGACTAAGGTACTGGGTTTGTTGGGGACCAGGGAGAGAAAACATCAAGTGGGGAGAGTTCTTAAGAAAGAGAGGAAAAAGAAGCATTAGCAAAGGGAGAGGAATTAAGCCAAACATTTAATAACTAATCACAAGTAACTTTTCTGGTAAGAAAATAGAAGAGTTCTGCCTTTTATAGGGTAGAGCCAAAAATCTCCTATACATGTGAGTGAGGCTATTATCATTTTACTTGCTGTGCTGTGGAGAAGTGATTTGGGTTTGGAGAGTAAGGACATAGTAGAGGTCCTCATTCAGAGTGATACTTTGTAACCTCTATGGTGAAAAAGGACAAATTTCCCCATAGCTTGTTATAATAAAAGGGATTCAGAAGCAGCTGTGCCCTCCTAGGCCCTGGAATGAAAGGGTCTGCTAGAAAGCACTGGAGCAAGTCTGATCAGCCCACCTGAATGCAGGGAGGCTCCTGGGGCTGAGGCCGGGAGGGGAGAGAACGCGGAAAGAGGAGGCTTTTTGAAGTGCGGGAGAAAAATAAAGAATATAGAATTCTGGTTGCAGTAGGAAAACAAAGGAAAACAGATACAATAGCTGAGGGTAAATAAGAGGTTGTACCAAGAGAGCAGCAGGAAGAAGATGGCTCATGAAGATAGAGAGCACTTCATGAGAGGGAGCTTTGTCTGAATCCCAGGATGAAAAGCCAAGAGGAGGAAAAGCATCATAGAACTGAATGGAGGGAAAAGCAAAGGAAAATGAGAACAATAGGCCTTCTGTAGACGGGACCTAGGCCCAGGACAGACAGAGGGAGGGCCATCTAGCCAGAGCCAAGGCTAAAGCTTCACACCTAAGAAGTAAGAAAGGAAACGAGCCTTCGAAGAATTCAACATAAAATTTTACAAAATTGGAGCCAGTACAGCTTAAAGTAGAAATATATTTTGATACTTTACTATATAGCCACTAGAGATGCAGCATATGAAACTCGGAAAGCAGAAAAACATGGTCTTCATTTAATATGAATCAAAAGGCTGAATATAAGGAGTAAAATTTATTTTAGACCCAGGTCCTGGATTTAGGATTTATAAGTGGCCAAAAATAAAAGATGCCTTCTGGACAAGATTATCATCAGAATAAAGATTTTCAAACTGTGCATATGTAAGGCATTTAAAGGATAACAGAATGGGTATTCTAACTTCTAGCATATGTCAAACACTGAATCTTACCAACTGTAGGAAGCAGGCAGGAAGCTCCTCCGGTGGTTGCCAGTTTTCCAAACAAGAAAAAGGAAATCACAAGGTCACATAACAAATGAGGCAATTTAGGCGATGTTCTTTGGAATTATGCACACTTATGTTTGAGTCCCTGTTTTAAAGTTGCTAGTTCTGTGACATTGAACGAATTATCTAATCTCTCTGGACTTTAGCTTTGTCACCTCAAAAATGGGAAGAATGGTACTTTTCTATATGATTGCTATGAAGATTGAAAAATGTGTATAAAGAACTTACTAAAGTGTAGGATTATACTATTGTTGCTTTATAAATATTGTTGAAAATGTGGAGTCAGACTAGGACCTGGAACTTCAGATTCCTACTCCAGGTTCTTTCAACCAAACTCTGCAGCTCAATATGAGACACAGATTGAAAACATGCTTATGGTTATGATAAAAAGATGAAAGAAGATCAGAAAGAAAATGTAGGAAATAGTTTTATAAAAGATACGAGAAGGTGTTTCAACTGAGACACAGGAAAAGATGATAGGAATAGTCCTAAAAATAACCAAAATGTGATCTGTGGATTTAAATATTTCCAAATGTATGAAATAGGATTGATCACTACTTATTTACATATGTATGTTAAAAGTACAATTCTATAATCATTACAAATTACTCAACCGATTTCGTGTTTGTGTTTATTAAGACAAGCCAAAAGGTGTATGTTGTGGGGAGTGGTGGGGAACTTATGCAAAATGCATCATGAGTGTTACAAACAGACAATGAAATTTTGCCCAGGTTGCCAAATTTTTAATAACAAAACAATTGGAAGACAATTACTATTTAAAATGTGAGCAGTTATTACAATGTAAATATAGGTTTTCTATATTTACATTGTATATTTATTACAATGTAAATATAGCCTATATTTACATTGTATATTTATTACAATGTAAATATAGCCTATATTTACATTGTATATTTATTACAATGTAAATATAGGCTATATTTACATTGTATATTCTATATTTACATAATATATTCTATATTTACATTGCATAGACCTCTACTTATAAGAAATTTAATAATATCCATTTTATTTTAACACTCAGAATACTTGTAGCACCCATCATTCTTTTGATTCTTCTCAACCTTCTGGACAAACATTCTCAAAACTTGCTTTTAAATTCCTAATCTAAGCATCCCTAATTCATCTTTTTAGTTACGTCTGTAGTGAGACATAAAAGACAAGACAACCACCAACATCCCTGGTATCCCAGATCATATAAATCACAGTTGAAAACTCAAAGCCAAGTTTGTGATTCATTAGATGTGCACAGAAACATCCAAGTTACTAGTTTCTTTGGAATTTACTAGAGGTTTTAAGGAAATGCTTAAGCTGAGCTATTGCACACACACCAAAGAAACTCAATATTTCAAGCTTTTGAAAAAGACATTGTGTTTCAAAGTGAAATTGTTATGGGATCCTTGGGGGTATTGCTTTTCTGGTCAGAAACCTCTGTGGATGGTGGCACCTTCACCCAAATTTTGCTTGGGCCCACTGGGCTTACTTGTTTTGGCAGGCTGTGCTTGGCTCACACTACTGTCCTGGATCCCATGCCTCTGAAGAGGCTAGAGCAGAGCAGCAAGGGTATCCGAGCGAGTGAGCATGGGGTCCGGCCACTGCGCACAGTCAGACACGGCTGCTGCAGTGAGGCGGGCAGCTCTAGGTGCCACCATAGGTGCTGGCTCATTGCAAGGCTACAGCAGGACCAGGCGCACCGCAAGCAGCATCCATGGCTGGCACTGTGGAATGTGGTGATGCCTGGATGCTTGGAGACTCCAGGAACCACAGAGCCCCAAAGGGGGAGTCACAGCCCTGGCTTGGGGAGCTCCCAGGTCTAGGCCCCTGAAGGGCCGCAGCACTTCTCTCCTTCTTGTTGCCCACAGATGTGGTGAGCAAGGGGCGTGTTTCAGCCCTGTTTGTGTTATAGCTCTTTTACCCTGCCATTCGGCAGGTCCCAAGTTCTTGTCCTGTACCCAGGAAGAGTGAGGTACAGCAGACAAGTGGTGGGTGAGCAAGATGAAGAGGAACTTTATTGATCAATAGAACAGCTCAGAGGAGACCCACAGTGGGCAGCTCCTCTCCATAGCCAGGGTGTCCTGACAAGTGTTTGGCTCTCAGCAGAGAGGGTTGCTCCTCTCTACTAGGCAGGTCATCCAACAAGAGTCCAGCTCTCAGCAGAGAGGTTAGTTTCTCTTTGCAGCTGGTCAGCCAATTGTCTCCCCATTGTCTCCCTATTGACTCTCCATCCTCTGCTTGAGCCTGGCTGAGTCTGGGGATTTGTGGACCTCAGAGGGGAGGAAGTACATGCCCATGGGCAGCCATGGGCAGACCCAGGGAAAAGGACCACAAGTTCCCCTCCTGGTCTCTGAAGACTGGTGCCCTGGACCCCAGGCTTCAGGCCCTCCCTGGTTTGAAGGTGGGGCTTCACTGGGGACCAACCCCCTTCTGCCCAGGAGCCTATCTGCCTCCTGCTCCTGTTTATGGCGCCCAGGCTGTTCATGCCAAGGGGTGCCTGCAGGCCAGCAACATGCTGTTCTCAACACCCCCTTGGCCTCCTTCCTGTGCTTGTTGTCGGCCAAAGTCTGGAGCGGGTTGAGGTGGCAATGAGCTGGCATATCAGTGTAGCCCCTAGCATGTGCATACCCAATCAGGCAGCAACAGTGCCTGCGCTACCCCCGAGTTTGCTTTGCTCTGAGATTGAAGCCAGCCTCAACAGCTGAGGAAGCCAGGCAGCAGGAGCAGGCACTTTTGAGCCTCTACAGGGTTAGGGGTGGGAGACTTCCTGGTTCCCAAGTGCACAGAGATGCCTGGGTCTGGAGCCAGCATGGCGGCTGTAGCTGCGCTGGGGAGCTCCCGCCCTGCGAACTTGGAAGCGGCAGAGCTACCGGCTCCATGGAGCCTGCAGCCCCAGCCGTGCCTCCTTGCTGCCTGGGGCAGGGGCTCCATGTCCTCGCTGGTCCCTTCTCTGCCTGTTCCTCTGTGCCAGACCAAGCTGCTGTCCCGCCGGTGGGTGGCTCGGCCCAGCCCCAACATGGCAGCTCTCAGGGCAGCAGGATCTCAGGGGTGACCTCCGGTGACTGTCTACCTCCTCCCTGCACCCTCCCCACAGCAGTGGCAGGCAAGAGTGGTGTCATGGGGCCAGGGTCCAAAGAGGCAGAGGCTCCGGTTCTGGGAGAGGGTCCCCCTGGCCACACGAGGGTTGGGATGGCGCAGGTGGATGCCTCAGGGACAGAGGGCACAGGGGTTCCAGTGCTGCCACTGCTGCTCTCACACCTGGTCCTGCTGCCACGGCCTACGCCTCCCCACTGCAGTCGGTGTGATGGCAGTGGCCACTTTGAATGGCCCGCCGCTGCCATAAAGATGTACTGGTAAAAGAAAACTTCCTATGATTTGGTTCCTGTAGAAATGCTAACAATGAGGTTCACAGTGAAAGGCTAAGATTTATTCTTTTTACCAATGGGAAAAAGGGGCCCATTTAATGGATAAGGGTAGTGAACCAAAGGAAGAGAGATGGTAAACAAAGTGAAAGATTTCTTCTTCTCTAACATTAATGTCTTAAAAACTTAGAAACTTGGCAGAAATCTATAGAAGATGAGCAAATTACTGATAAAAAAAGGATGGTATTAGAAATACATAACCCAGAAATCAGAAGTCTTGCTCATTTTTTCATGATACCAGAGAATAGTGATAGAGAATGCGATGCTGTAAAATATGAAGATAGAAAACATTCTAAAAAGGAGGAAAGTTGACCATAAAGAACAAAATAAATATGAATAGCTGCTGAAATGATTGATAGTGTGGATGGATTTAAAACACTCAATGTATAAATTGTATTAAAAATAGTAAAATGAGATAAGCTTTTGTAAGACAAGGTTAAGGTGACATATGGAGATAAAAAATTTGAACAAGGATAAAAGCACAGCTTTCAGACATCCTTAAGTATTTGTGGTGGTCGGTTTATAGGATTAAAGCTGACAGATTAGGAAAGAGAAGTTGTGAATAATGTCTTTAGAACGTTGCTCCAGAGAGAGAAAAGGTGCTCAGAGAGAGGAAAGAATGTGGGTTAATGCCACATGAAAGCCTGGAGAAGCCAATGCATTAACAGCAGACTGGTCTGGAAGTAAGGACCATGGTGGGATTGATGGAGTGGGAATGTTCTCTGGTCCAAAGTTCTCACTTTAGATTCTATGCACTTTTAAGCACCTATGCGGAAAATTTTGGTTTCTTGTTTCAGTGACAAGTAAATAGGGAAAGGTGAAATAATTCATCCAATTGATAAAGACTATAGTACTTATAAAAGATGATATAGAGAATTTAAAATTGGATGTCGATGACATGACAAAATATTAGTTTTCAGTTTTCAATTGGATCTTGTTTATAAAATTTTTACCAAAAAGAGCTAACAAAATGACATGGCCTAACCTAGACATTTATTCTGTTTTCTGGTTTTACATACCTCCCATCCCTTTTATTAGCAAATTCCTCCTTAACCTTTGAGGTCTGCTCAATTGCTACCTTCCTGGAGATGCCTTTCCCCTCTTGCTGCCGTGTCTCCACCTCTCCACTGCTGCAGCACTGCATCCACAGCGTTCCTATACTTCCATCATATTGTGGTACCATTTTCCATTCCCATGCTGGTTTCACATTTGATGAAGAATTTTTCAAGATAGGTAGACATGTTGTATTTTCTTGTTTATGTTTTTAATTCCAGCTCCTAGACTGGGTTCTAATTATCGTTGGTGTTTAATACTTGTTAACTGAATGAATAATTGTAAGAGAAATCATGAGCTTTGTGAAGAAGAATGCTTAAGAGATATTTATTTTATTTGCGGTTAGACAACTAAGGATGAGTCATACCAAATCAGCTTTTTTTTATGTTTTAATTTTTTTTTTTTTTTTTAAGCCATGGTCTTGCTCTTGCTCAGGCTGCAGTGCAGGTTTGACCTCCTGGGTTCAAGTGATCCTTCCACCTAAGCCTCCCTAGTACTACAGGTGTAGGCCACTGAGCCCAGCTTATTTTTTATTTTTTGCAGGGATGGCATCTCACCATGTTGCCCAGGCTGATCTTGGACTCCTGTACTCAAGCAATCTCCCTGCCTTGGCCTCCCAAACTGCTGGGATTACAAGCATGAGCCACCATGCCCAGAGTCCAAGTCAGCTTTGACAACCCCAGCTGCTGGCATAGGCACAGGAATTTTCCGTGATCCAGAGCAGCCAAGGTAGAATCTGGAGCTTTTGTAACTATGGCATCTTAGCATCTGTGGAATACATGAGTCCTGATAGGGGTTGTTAACTCCTAGTGGGCGTAGGTGAATCTTTGGGTATAAAGTACGTCCTGGGGCAACTATATGCCTCTGAGTATGGCTTTTCTTTAGTTCTCAAAATATGTGACAGTTCAATTCCTCGACACTTATTCTGGTTTCTGGTTACAATTTTGTTTTTTATTTGTCCCAAAATTACTCTAAGCCCTGGACTGTCTGCCTTGTGTTTGCTCTGAGCCCTAGACTGTCTGCTTTGTCTTTGTTGCCTCTTCACTGTGTCCACATACATACACATGCATACATACACATACACATACACATACACATACACATACACATACACATACACAAATGAGTTACTGCTTTATTCAGTCCTCACAGACAGAGCCCTGGGAGCATGACAGCTAGTGCCCAGAATCTCCAGCTGCCACCCTCCACTGAGCAGATTAGATTTTCAGAATCTAACTTCTCATCATGACCTCTGCTACTGCTGGTACCCTCATCCTTGCTGCCACCATCATCTCTTGCCGATAGCCTCCCAAGATTTCTACCAATAACTGTCCTTATCATGCTTTAGTTTATTTTCAATAGAGCAAAGTGATCCTTTGAACACTGAAATCAGACCATTTCACTCTTCTACTTAGATCGGATGACTCATCAGTTTATTCAGTGTGAAAGCCAAATTTCCTACCATGGGCTACATGCTGTAGTTTTATTTTTGAATGTCTCTCCTGCTAATCTCCCACTTCTCACTCTACTTCTACTTTTCTGACCTGTTTCTGTTCCTCAATCACACTAGGCATGCTCCCGCCTCAGGGCCTTTGCTTAAGTTGTTTCCTCTTCCTGAAAGCTCTTGTGTAGGCATGAGGGAGCTTAGAAGAATCCCAAATCTTCATGGCACATAAAAACAAAGATTTATATTTTGCCAAAGTTTCACCACCAATAGCTTTCCAAATTGTGCTAGGATTGTACCCAGGCCAAAGGATGAGCCCTTATCTGGACATTAAAAATCTAGTGGCAGATAAAAAGGAAATGTGGGAAAACATGAAAGAATGTGGCTCTTAAAGCTTCTTGGAAATGGATACATCATCCCAATCACATTTCTTTAGCTAAAAAAGTTGTGGGCAGGAATTTATGTCAATTGGTCAGGAATTTATAATCTCAAAAAGAGAGGCATGATATGTTTTAGACAAAATTGCAATCTATCATATGCCAAAAATCGCCTTGACCTCCTCTTCTTCAAGTTTTGCATGAATGTCACCTACACAATGAGGCCAACCATACTGAATAATACATCCTGCTCTACAACTTCTAGGAATTCTCATAACATTCATCACCTTCTAACTTGAAAATATAACTTAGTTTTTTACATTTTTTAAAACCTTGTCTTGTCTTCCTGCTAGAATATAAACTCAATGAGGTGAGGGATCTGGGACTGTTTTCCACTGTTGTATCTCAAGTAACTATGATCAAATACCTGGCAATATCTGTGGAATTAGTAAAGGAATAGATTTGAATATGAATATGACTGCTAAACTTAGATTGTCTTCAGTTTGTGGAGCCTGTTGGGATATGAAAATTTATGCCTGTGGCTGCATTTCCAAACAAAAAGTTACAGAAAAAGGAAAATTGCAAGAAATAAATTTAATTTTATCTAAGTCAAAAAGAGGTGTGAATCTTTTCTGATATGTTTCTGGAAGCCAGATTTTATGTGCCCAGAATCATGAATATTCTAAGGTTCACAGTAGGTTGACTAGAGCCATAGTTTCTATTTTCTGTTTTTTTATGGTGCTTACTTCTTCCATTTAAAATGACTCTAGCTCTTTCTCAAAAGTTTCAAGAAGCTGCTATGCCTGGCTATCAGCCCTGACCTGAACTCAGTAAATGAATAATCTCTAAGATAAGGTGTTGCACATTCTTCATTTTCATGTAGATGCTTTAGAAACCCTTCTGGGAACAGCATTCCTCTTTACCTGTGCCCCAGGCTTGCTTTAGGTGGAGTTGCCTGTCTGAGGCTGTTTAGTGTAGTAGATACTGGGTTATGAAATCCACAGGCATGAGCTTAAATTCCAGCTCCACAAATTTAGCTATGTAATCTTGGGAAAGTTTTTTCTAACCTTTTGAGGCCTCAATTTTTTGTTCTGTAAAATAGTGAAAATAATAACTTTGTAAGTAGAAGATTACGTTTCTTTAACAAAAATAGAAGATGAGGTGCAAACATGTAAAGCTGTTAAGAGGAAATAAAGAAAATCTAGTAAATATATAAAACCAAATAAATGGTGGAAAATAAAAAAGTTATTAAAATTATACTTGACTGTTAAAGTTATATATTGTATTATTAAAGGCATGAAAATGGGGAGAAATGGAATTATCCTAATAAAGGTATCTGTGGAGGCATTTAGTGAGACTTATGACCATTTGAATTAGGGGGAAATAAGATGCAAAAGGAAATTAGGAAATTAAAATAAAGCAAGTATATATTACTTCTATAATCAGGAGAAAGCTCCAGGGATTTAAAACCAATATAAGATGAATACAGTTTTAAAAAAGGAAAAAAATAACAAGATGAAACTAAAAAATAGAAAATAAAAAAACAATTGCTCTTTTTTGTGCGATGAAGGGGGAGATTTTCCTGTAAATTTTTTTGTGGCTGGCTCCTACTATTGTTACATCTGATGTAGGGATGGGAATATGTTGGTAATCCTACATAGCCACAGGAATGTCTGAGTGAGAAAATGGAATACAAATCTGGAAGAAATGATGAGCAGGACTAATCTACAATTGCCTTATGTTATAATGTGGTTCTTGAAGAAAGGAGAGGATCCCAGCAAACCAAGGTTGAATTTTGTATTTTATTTCCTATGTTATATGATCAGTGGAAATACAGTATTCCATTGAAACAAAAATGATATTATAAAAAAGAAAAGAATACTTGGCAACCCAAGAAAAGGACACGGTAATGAAGATGGCAGAGTGGAAGATGAAAGTCAACAACTTAAAAAGGAAAACCTGGAGACCCATATACAATTATCAAGGAACTCTGTATGTAGGACTTGAGAATTTCAAGATACTTGAAAGGTTCCCAGAAATAGAACTTGGAGAAAACAGAACTGTCTTGTGGAATATCTTATGTAAATTGCTCTTATGTAAACCAGCAGAGCTCTAAAGTAGAAGAAAAGTTGCTTCCTCAATGGAGATCATACTAGGCTCTTTATTTAGTTTTTGCTTTATATTTATAGAAAAATTGTGAGTTAGGCATTATTTATTCTGTTTTTTAAAATGAGTCAGTTCAATTTTGGAGAAGTATGGTGACTTGCAGAGGGCTAGCTTGTGTGATGTGACAGAGCCTGGATTTCAACTAAGAGATGTCTGACTTAAACATCTACTTTGCTTCCCAGTCCTCTACCCTGGCCTTTTAATAGACTATGAGAAAGGCCTCTGGAACCACCAAGGATGAAAAGAAAAACTGTTTGCAAATATATAGTAAAGAGATACTGTAAAGGATCTGTGAAGAGGAAGAAAAATGGCAAATACTGAGAATATTAAGAGTAGAGATATGGTCAAAAATAAAGACACACACACACACACACACATGAATAACTGACCAAAGGATAAAAATATACTGTAGAAGAAGAGGAATCAACTAGTAGGCCTTGCCTGTGAAAATTTTATTGGTTTTATTTGGTCAGTGATATGGTTTGGCTGTGTCTCCACCCAAATCTCATCTTGAATTTTAGTTCCCAGAATGCCCACATGTTGTGGGAGGGATCCAGTGGGAGATAATTGAATCATGGGAGCGAATACCCCATATTACTGTTCTCATGGTAGTGAATAAGTCTCACAAGATCTAATGGTTTTATAAAAGGTTTCCCCTTTCACTTGGCTCCCATTTGTTCTTGTCTGCCACCATGTAAGACATGCCTTTTGCCTTCTGCCATGATTGTGAGGCCTCCCCAGCCATGTGTAACTGTGAGTCCATTAAACCTCTCTTTCTTTACAAATTATCCAGTCTCAGGTATGTCTTTATCAGCAGCATGAAAATGGATTGATACAGTCAGAAAGGAAACATATGTAAGAATAGTTTATAATAAATCTTAGTAGTAATATTTTTAATAGTAGGAAATTTTAAGCTTTAAAATATAAAAGTTGTGCTACTTATTTTATAATTAATAATTCAGTAGAATCTACATGTATAGTGTCATCTCAATTTCATTCTTATGCAATTTTCTCCTTTCAGTGTCCCATACAGGACATACTCACATCTGACATGATCTCCTGTACTTTTTTTTCTGTCTCAAAAAGCACAAAAATATCCACCTTCACCAAAGTGTCTTAAACTTTTTATGTTATGATTGTGGTTAAAAATACATATCACTGGGCTGGGCATGGTGACTCACACGTGTAATCCTAGCACTTTGGGAGGCTGAGGCGGGCGGATTGCCTGAGCTCAGGAGTTCAAGACCATCCTGGGCAACAGGGTGAAACCCCGTCTCTACTAAAATACAAAAAATAGCCGAGCAGAGAGCATGCTCCTGTAGTCCCAGTTACTTGGGAGGCTGAGGCAGGAGAATTCCTTGAACCCAGGAGGTGGAGGTTGCAGTGAGCCGAGATTGTGTCACTGCACTCCAGCCTGGGTGACAGAATGAGACTCCATCTCAAAAAAAATAAATACATATCATGAAATTTACTCTCTTTAAACATTGTTAAGTACAGAATTGTTATCTATGTGCACATTGTTGTACAGCAGATTTCTAGAACTTTTTCATCTTGCATGACTGAAACTCTATGCCATTTGAATAGCAAATGCCCATTTCCCCCTTCCCCAGACCCTGGCAACTACCATTCTACTTTTCATTTCTATGAGTTTGACCTCTTTGATTACTTCATATAAGTGGAACCACGCAGTATTTGCCCTTCTGTGACTGGCTTATTTCACTGTGCATAATGCCCTGAAGGTTCAGCCATGGTGTAGCATATGACAGCATTACCTTCTTTTCTAAGGCTAATTAGTATTCCATTGGTGGTACATAATACATGTTGTTTATCCCTTTATCCACCAATGGACATTTAGGTTGTTTATACATCTTGGCTATTGTGAAGGATACTGCAATGAATATGAAAGTACAAATATTGCTTCAAGATCCTGTTTTCAATTTTTTGGATAAATACCAAGAAGTGAGAGTGCTGGATCATATTTTGGTTCTTTTAAAAATTTTTCGAGTAACCTCCATACAGTTTTCTATGGTGGCCACACCATTTTACATTCCCACTAACAATCCTCATCAACACTTTTTATTTTCAGTTTTTTTTTTGTTTCATTCTAACAAGTGTGGTGTGATATCTGATTGTGGTTTTGTTTGCAGTTTCTTAATACTTTATGATGTTGGAATTCTTTCCATATACCTGGTAATCATTTGTATGTAGTCTCAGAAAAATGTCTATTTAAATCCTTTGTGCATTTTTAAATTGGCTTTTTTTCCTGCTATTGAGTTGTAGGCATTCCTTATATATTTTGGATATTAACCCCTTATCAGATATATGATGTGATGTTTAATTTTAGATGCCAACTTGACTGAATTAAGGAATACCCAAGTAGTTAGTAAAGCATTATTTCTGGGTATGTCTATGAGGGTGTTTTTAGAAGAGATTAGTATGCCAATTAATGAATTGAATAAAGAAGATCTGAACTCGCCCAGCATTGGCAGGCACCATCCAATTTAGGCTGAGGCCACCTAGATAAACAAAGAAGCAGAGGAAGGCAAGTTCATGCTCTCTCTCTTCTGAAACTGAACACCCATCTTCTTCAGCCCTAGATACTAGAAGTTAAGGTTCTCTAACCTTAGGTTTCTGGAGCTTGCACTGGAGACCCCAGTTTCTCAGGGCTTTGGTCTCAGACTGAGAGTTATACCATTGGCTCCTCTTGTTCTCAGGCATTTGGACTTGAATGGAGCCATGCTACTGGCTTCCGTGACTCTCCAGCTTTCAGGCCAGAATACTGTGGGACTTCACAGCCTCCTTAATTACGTGAGCTAATTCCTGTAACAAATCCCTTTTCAAATATCTATCTATAGATTTCCTATTGATTCTGTTTCTCTGGAGAACCATGACTAATACATATGGTTTGCAAATGTTTCCCCTCATTCCATAGGTTGCCTTTTCTCTCTGTTGATGGTTTTCCTTGTGTAGACGCTCTTTAGTTTGATATAGTCCCACTTGTTTATTTCTTCTTGTTGTTGTCTGTACTTCTAGTGACATATCTAAGAAATTCTTACCAAGAACAATGTTATGAAGTTTTCTCCTATGTTTTCTTTTAGGAGATTTATAGTTGCAGCTCTTACATTTAAGTCTTTAATCCTTTTTTGAGTTTTTTTTGTGTGTGTGTGGTATGAGTCCAAATGTATTGTTTTGCATATGAATATCCAGTTTCTCCAACACCATTTGTTGAAGAGACTGCCCTTTCTCCATTGTGTAATCTTGGCTTCCTTGCAAAAATATCTTTTGATTGTATATGTGTGAGTTTGTTTTTGGGCTTGTATTCAGTTCCATTAATCTAATGTCTGCATTTTTGCTGGTGTCATACTGCTTTGATTACTGTAGCTTTGTAATGTGTTTTGAGTCAGGAAGTATTAGTCTGCCAGCTTCATTCTTCTTTCTCAAGATTGTTTTGACTATTCAGGGGTCTTTTGTGATTCCATATGAATTTTAAGATGGGGTTTTCTACGAAAAAAAACACTGGAATTTTGAATAAGACAGCATTACTGTGTAGATCAGTTTGAATAGTATTGATATTTTAACAATATTTAGTCTTCCAATCCAAGAACATGGGATATCTTTCCATTTATTTGTGTCTTTAATTTTTCAGCAGTGTTGTGTAGTTCTCAGTATACAAGTCTTTTTCCTCATTGACTGAGTTTATTCTTAAGTATTTTAGTCTTTTTAATGCTATTGTGAATAAGATTGTTTTCATTTCCTTTTTGAACTGCTCAGTGTTAGTGTATAGAAATGCAATTGATTTTTGTATGCTGATTTTGTATTCTGCAACTTTGATGAATTTTTTTATTATTTCTAACAGGTTTTTGGTGTGATTTTTAGCATTTTCTACGTATAAGACCATGTCATCTGCAAACAAAGGTAATTTTACTTCTTTATTTTGAATTTGAATGCATTTTATTTATTTTTGTTGCCTAATTGCTCTAGTTAAGACTACTAGTACTATGTTGAATACAAATGGTAAGATGGGCATGCTTACCTTGTTTCTAATCTTAGAGGAAAAGCTTTCAGTTTTTCACCACTGAGTATAGTGTTAGCTATGAGATTTTTATATATGGTTTTTAATTACACTGAGATAATTTACTTCTATTCATAGTTTAGTGAGTATTTTATCATAAAAGTGTGTGAAATTTTGTCCAATGTTTTCTCTGCATCAATTGAGGTGATCATGTAATTTTTATCCTTCGTTCTGTTAAGATGGTATATAACATCGATTGGTTTTTGTATGCTGAATTATCCCTGCATTCCAGGAATAAATCCCACTTGGTCATGGTGCATGATACTTTCAATATACTTTTGGATTTCATTTGCTATTAATAATACTTTGTTGATGATCATTTGCATCTATATTCATCAGGGATATTGGCCTGTAATTTTCTTTTCTTGTAGTGTCTTTGTCTTAGTTTGGTATCAGGGTAATGCTGGCTTCATAAAACACATTTGAAAATATTCCCTCCTCTTTAATTTTTTTGGAAAAGTTTGAGAAGGATTTTCATTAATTTTTATTTAAATGTTCAACAGAATTCTCAGTGAAGCTATCTGCTCCTGGGCTTTAGTTTTTTGAGAGCTTTTGGAAAACTTATTCAATCTTACTAGTCATAGGTCTGTTCAGATTTTCTATTTCTTCATCATTCTGTCATGGTGGTTTGTATGTTTCCAGGAGTTTATTTCTTCTAGGTTATCCAATATATTGGTATATTATTTACAGTCATCTCTAATAACCCTCTTTATCTCTATGGTATCAGTTGCAATGTCTTCTTTTTAAATTTCTGATTATATTTATTTGAGTCTTCTGTTTTACTTTCAGTCCAGCTAAACTTTGACAATCTGGTGATCTTTTGGAAAGAATCAAGTCTTAGTTATGAATTTTTCTGTTGCTTTTCTTTTCTTTTGTTTGTTTCACATATTCCTAATCTTTTTCATTTTCTCCCTTCTGCTACTTTGGGCTTATTGTCTTCTTCTTTCTAGTTCCTTGAGATATAAAATTAGGTTGCTTATTTGAACTCTTTCTTCCTTTTTACCGTAGGCATTACTGCTATAAATTTGCCTTTTAGTATTGTTTTTGGTGCTTCCTATATGTTTTGATATGTTGTGTTTTCATTTTTATCTTAGCTATTTTCCAATTTCCCTTTTGATTTCTTCTTTGACTGGTTGCTTACTCCAGAGTGTGTTGTTTAATTTTCATATATTTGTGATTTTTTTTAAGTTTTCCTTTTGCTCTTGATTTTTAGTTTTAGTTCATTACGGTTGGAAAAGAAATTTGGTATGATTTCTACCTTCTTAAGTTTATTAAGATGTGTTTTGTGAGCTAACACGTGATATTTCTTGAAGAATGTTACATGTGCACTTCAGAATAATGTGTATTCTGCTGCTGTTGGATGGTTTGCTCTGTATATATTCATTAGATCCATTTGGTATACTGCTAAGTCCTGTGTTTCCTTAATGATCTCTACCCTTGATGTTCTATTCATTATTAAAAGAGGGGTATTGGAATCTCCTACTGTTATTGTGTTGTTATCTATTTTTCCTATCAATTCTGTGAATGTTTGCTTCATATATTTGAGTGTTCTGATATTGAGGGCATATATATTTATAGTTGTTTTATATTCCTGGTGAGTTTACCCTTTTATCATTATATAATTCCTTCCTCTGCCTCTTGTACAGTTTTTGACTTAAAGTCTATTTTGTTGGATATAAGCATGGCCACTCCTTCCCTCTTTTGGTTATTATTTGCATAGAATCTTGTTCCATCCTTTCACTTTCAGCCTATATGTCCTTAAATTTAAAGTGAGATTTTTGTAGACAACATTTACAGTAAAAGCATCTCCAATTCAAAAATTCAAAATTTGAAATGCTCCAAAATACTCAACTATTTTAGGGCTGATATGATGTTGCAAGAAGATGCTAATTGGAGCATTAAAGACTTTGTATTTTCAAATTTTAGATGCTTACCTGGTAAGTATAATGTAAATATTCCAAAATCCAAAATAATCTGAAATTGAAAACACTTCTGGTCTTGAGCATTTTGGATACAGGATACTCAACCTGTAGTTTCATCTTGTTTATTTTATTTTATTATCTATTTAGTCATTGTCTTTTAATTGGCTAGTTGAACCTATTGTCATCTAAAAGAACTGCTGATAAAGAAGGACTTATATTGCTATTTTGTTAATTGTTTTCTCTCTGTCTTGTACTTTTTTGTTCCTCTTTTTCTTTCTTGCCATCTTCCTTTATATTTTGTTAATTTTTTGTAGTGACATGCTTTGATTCATCTCTTGTATTATTTTGTAAATCTTCTATAGGTATTTTCTTTGTGATTACCATGGGGCTTCCAGAAAACATAACAATCTATTTCAAGCTGATAACAACTTAACTTTAATCACATACCAAACTCTACTTCTCCTACTTGCACAAACTTTATGCTATTGATGTCACAAATTACAACTTTTTATATTGTGTATCCATTAGCACATTTTTTTTTGTTGTTGAGGCGGAGTCTCACTCTGTTGCCCAGGCTGGAGTGCAATAGCACGATCTCGGCTCACTGCAACCTCTGCTGCCCAGGTTCAAGCGATTCTCCTGCCTCGGACTCCTGAGTAGCTGGGATTAAAGGTGCCCACCACCACACCTGACTAATTTTTGAATTTTTAGTAGAGGCGGGGTTTTGTCATGTTTGCCAGGCTGGTCTTGAACTCCTGACCTCAGGTGATCCACCCGCCTCGGCCTCCCAAAGTGCTGGGATTACAGGTGTGAGCCACTGCACCCAGACCCATTAGTATATTTTTATAGTTACAGTTGTTTTTCTATACCTTTTTCTTCTAACTTCTATACCATAATTAAAAGTTATTTATACATTGCCAATGCAGTGTGACTGTATTCAGCATTTGTTTATGTATTTACTTTTACTTTATGCTTTCATACAGTTTTGTGTAGCTGTTTAGCATCCTTTCATTTCAACTTGAAGGACTCCTTTTAGCACTTTTTTTTAAGGCACGTCTAGTGGCAATAACACCCCGCTATCCCCTACCTGCTTTTGTTTATCTGGGTCCATCTTCATTTATCTTTCAATTTAGAAAGGCAGTTTTGCTGGATTTAGTATTCTTGGTTTATGATTATATTCTTTTGGTTCTTTGAATATATCATTGTAACTTCTTAATATTTCTGGCCTGAAATGTTTCTGCTGAGAAATTGGCTGATAGATGTACAGGGAATCCCTTGTACATAATAAATTGCTTTTCTCTTTCTGCTTTCCAAATTTTCTTTTGTCTTTGATATTTGACAATTTGATTATAATGTGCTTAGGTGTATGTCTTCAAGTTCATTCTATCTGGAATCCAAATGTACATTTTCTCCCCCAGATTTGGGGAATTTTCCACCATTATTTCTTCAAATAAGCCTTCTTCCCCTTTCTCTTTCTCTTCTCCTTCTGATAATTTATAATATGTGTACATTTTTTGCTTGATGATGTCTGATAAGTCCTTAAGCTGTACTATTCTTATTTTATTTTATTTTCATTTTGCTCCCGTGACTAGATAATTTCAAATTACCTGTTTTGTGGTCACAGATTCTTTCTTCTGCTTGTTTCTGTCTGCTATTGAATCTTTCTAGTGAATTTATCAATTAGTTATTGTATTCTTCAGCTCTAACATTTCTGTTTTGTTCTTTTTTAAAAATATTTTTTATCTCTTTGTTGATATTCTCTTTTCTTTTCTTTTGTTTTTCTTTTTTTTTTTTTTTTTTAGTCTTGCTCTGTCACCCAGGCTGGAGTACAGTGGTACAATCTTGTCTCACTGTAACCTCCACCTCCTGGGTTCAAGTGGATATTCTCATTTTGTTTGTTTATCATTTCCCTAAGCACATTGAACATCTTTGTAATGGTTATATTGAATTCATTGTCAGGTAATTCTGTATCTTTAGGGACAGTTTCTAGAGATTTATTTTGCTCCTTTGATTGGGCCATGATTCTGTTTTTTTTGAATGCCTTGTAGTTTTGTGTTAGTTTTGTACATTAATAAAAACAGCCACCTCTTTCAGTCTTTACAGATTGGCTTTACACAGGGAAAGACCTTCACCAATCAGTTTGGCTACAGATTCTGAAGGCTGCTCAAATCTTTTCTGTAGATGCATCTTCTCTAAATTTATGTGCATGAATTACCAATTAAAGTGATTTGTCGGTTTCTTTTTTCAGGAACTCATACTCACTTGCTCCCTCTGAGTTCTGTCTGCAGTACTGCAGATTCTCTGAAGCTATTACAAGCCAGTCAGCTCTTTGTTCTTAGCAGCTCGCAGGCATCTAGCATATGCCAGGTCTTATCAGCAACCCAAGACAGGTGAGACAAAAACTAGACCCTTGGGTAGTCCCCTAAAAAATTGCCATGTTGGAAACATACTTCAACTCTTTCCCTCTACAGAAAGAAGCCAGAAGTGGGAGGTTTTTTTTTTTGTTTGTTTTTCGTTTTTTTACCACTTATTCCATGCTCAGCTTGGGGAGGGACTATGACGAGTGAATGCAGGTTAGCCTAAACCATTGCATTTGTTCTCAGTGGCCCCCAGTAAGACACCGTTTTCTGTCAGCACTTAAATTTAGGCAAGTTAGAAGCTGGTTTCTAAGGCAGCACTCTTGAAAAGTCACAGTGATGGATGTACAGTCCAGTCTTCTCTTTCCTTTCCTTGGGAGAAGCTGTGAACTAAGCATTTCTTTCTAGTTGTACTACATTGTCACAAGGGAAAACTATGGCAAATAAATGCCACAGATTTTCTTACTGGCTTCAATGTGTTGGTTTTGCACTTGCATGGGATACACGAGCCTCTTAACTGGTTCTAGATTTCTCACAAAGAGAAATCGTCTCTGTATTACTGTTACTGTTACTACCGAGTCAGTGCCTCCATTGAGGAAATGAGAGTCTAGGCCCTCCTAGTCTGAATCTTGCTGACATCACTCTCTTGTTTTAAGCTTCTTTAAGGAAACAAAGTATGATAAAAAGCCAAAATCAGTAATTAAAAATACATATCTTCCAATTTGATCTTTGTTTTTAGACAGTTGTTGGAACTGATACCTATAGTTGTATCTTTAGTTTATATAATTATTTTATATTTTATTTGAAATATCTCAGTTTAGTAATCCCTAATACCTTTTCATTATCTTCTGTTTTATCAGATTTTAAGTATCTTTTTTTTTTTTTTCTTGACACGGAATCTCGCTCTGTCCCCCAGGCTGGAGTGCAGTGGTGCGATCTCAGCTCACTGCAAGCTCCTCCTCCTGGGTTCACACCATTCTCCTGCCTCAGCCTCCCAAGTAGCTGGGACTACAGGCACCCACCACCACGCCTGGCTAATTTTTTTGTATTTTTAGTAGAGATGGGGTTTCACCATGTTAGCCAGGATGGTCTCGATCTCCTGACCTTGTGATCCACCCACCTCAGCCTCCCAAAGTGCTGGAATTACAGGCATGAGCCACCACGCCCAGACAGATTTTAAGTATCTTTCTCAATTAAAGTGAATCATTTACTAGAGACACTTAAATTACCATCGATTGATTTCTCTGCACTATCAAGTGTCATGAGTGAAACATAGCAGAATAGTAATTAAATGAAGCTTGTTTGCTTATATAAAATGCTTCCTTTTGTTTTAAAAATACCCAATGTTATGAAAGCTTTTTTGTATGCACAATACCTTTGTTTAAAATATCTACTGTGACTAAATCATGTCCTCTCAAGCTTTATATGTTGAAGCCCTAACTTCTAATGTGACTGTATTTGGAGATAATGCCTATATGGAGGTAATTAAAGTTAAACGAGGTAGTGAGGGTGGGGTTGTGATACAATAAAATTAGCATTCTTTTAAGAAGAGGCACCAGAGAACTTGCCCTTTATGTGAAGAAAGAAAAGGTCATTTGAACTTACAGCAAAATGGTGGCTGCTTGCAAGCTAAGAGAAGAGGCTTCAGAATGAAAGCTACCTTGCTGGCACCTTGATCTTGGACTTCACAGCCTCCAGAACTCTAAGAAATAAATTTTTGTTATTTAGGCTATACAGTATATGATATTTTGTTATGGCAGCCTGAGCAGATGAAGACAGGATCCATTTGTAAACACTGAATGTTCAAGACATATTTTATATTATATATATTTGAAGTTTCTTTCTTTCCCTACTACTTCACCATTAGCCTCTTCCTAGAGATTTCTTACATCAGTAGTGTATTTCTTGAGACTGCTGCAGATGATGAATGGGGCAATACTACTGAAAACTGTACTTCAGAATAGATGCTGCAAAGAATTGTGGATTAACTCTTTATAGCAATAGCAAAAAGCATTTCTAAAAGATACATCTATAGGCTTAAAAAGATAAGCATAAGTTTTTAAATGTCATCCTATATGTAAAAGTTATGATGAACAAAATAATATTACAATGCCTTTATTATAATACCATTTCCCAGAAGCCCAAAGCTTTTAAGGGAAATTCTTACATATACCCTTTGAAAACAATGGAAATGCTGAAGGCATGGCATTAGGGCATTAGGGGATACTCTGTGCTAGTTAAAAATTGAATTAGATGTATGACTGCCAAGGTTCTTTGCAATGCAATATGCCATGGCTCAAACAAGAGAGAGTTTTTTAATGTTGAGTAAAAAAGCTCGGATAAAGACCTCCTACATGTCAGGTACTGGCTGGCCAAGGGACAATGTCTATTTTTCCTGCTAGGTAAGTTAAATTTATAACTATTTTACAATTTGTTTAAACATAAAATTCATTTTCTGGCATCTATATTTTTTTAATTTAATTTTTTATTTTATGGGTCCAAAGTAGATATATATATTTATGAGGTACATGAGATATTTTGATACAGGTGTACAATGCACAATGCATAGTAATCACATCGGAGTAAATGGGGTTATCCAACACTTCAAACATTTATAATTTCTTTGTGTAACAAACATTCCACTTATTCTCTTTTAGTTAATTTTAAATATACGTTAAATTATTGTTGACTATAGTCACTCTGTTTTGCTATCAAATGCTGTCTAACTATATTTTTTTACCTATTAATCATATCCACTCCCCTCAACCTCCACTATTCTTCCCAGACTCTGGTAACCATCATTCTACTGTCTATCTCCATGAGTTCAATTGTTTTAATTTTCAGCTCCCATAAATAAATGAGAACAAGTGAACTCTGTTTTTCTGTGCTTAGTTTATTTCACTTAACATAATGTCCTCCAGTTCCATTCATGTTGTTGCAAATGACGGAATCTCATTCTTTTTTATGGCTGAATAGTACTCCATTGTGTTTATGTACCACATTTTCTTTATCCATTCACCTGCTGATGGACACTTAGGTTGCTTCCAAATCTTGACTATTGTGAATAGTACTGCAATAAATGGAAGAGTGCAGATATCTCTTTAACATACTGATTTCTTACTTTGGGGTATTTACTGAGCAGTAGGATTGCTAGATCATATAACAGTTCTATTTTTAGTTTTTTGAGTAATCTCCAAACTGTTCTCCATAGTGGCTATACTAATTTACGTTCCCACCAAGAGTGTATGAGAGTTCCCTTTTCGCCACACCCTCAGCAGCATTTGTTATTGCCTGTCTTTTGGATGAAAGCCACTTTATCGGGGGTGAAATGATATCTCATTGTAGTTTTGATTTGACTTTCTCTGATGATCAATGATATTGAGTATTTTTTATATATCTGGTTTTCATTTATATGTCTTCTTTTGAGAAATGTCTATTCAGATACTTTGCTTGTTTTAAAATCAGATTATTACATGTTTTTTCCTATAGAGTTGTTTGAATTTTGGGGTGATAAATGCTGGTTATTAATTCCTTGTCAGATGGATAGTTTGCAAATATTTCTCCATTTTGTGTGTTGTCTCTTCATTTTGTTTTAATTGTTTCCTTTGCTGTGCAGAAGCTTTTTAACTTGATGTGATACCATTTTTCCATTTTTGCTTGGTTGCCTGTGCTTGTGGGGTATTACTCAAGAAGTCTTTACCTGGACCGATGTCTTGAGTTTCTCCAATGTTTTCTTGTAAGCGTGAGGCCTTAGATTTAAGCCTTTAATCCATTTTGATTTGATTTTTGTATATGATGAGAGATAGGGGTCTAGTTTCATTCTTTTGCATATGATATCCAGTTTACCCAGCACCATCTATTACAAACTGTGTTTTCTCCAGTGTATGTCCTTGGAGTGTACCACCTTTGTTGAAAGTGAGTTCACCATAAAGACATGGATTTGTTTCTGAGTTCTCTTTTCTGTTTCATTGGTCTGTGTATCTGTATTTATGCCAGTACCTTGCTTTTTTGGTTACTAAAGCTCTATAGTATAATTTGAAGTCAGGTAATGGGACTCCTCTACTTTTGTTCTTTTTGCTCAGTATGGCTTTGGCTATTCTAGGTCTTTTGTTGTTCCGCATAAATTTTAGGATTATTTTTTCTGTTTCTGTTAAGAATGTCATTGGTATTTTGATAGCGATTAGGTTGAATGTTTAGATTGCTTTGGATACTATGAACACTTTATCAGTAGTGATTCATCCAGTCCAAAACATGGAATATCTTTCCATTTTGTGGTGTCCTCTTCAGTTTCTTGCATCAATGTTTTATAGTTTTCATTGTAGAGATTTTTCACTTTTTTGGTTAAGTTAATCTCTAGGTATTTAATTTTATCTGTAGCTATTATAGATGAGATGAATTTTTTTATTTCTTTTTTGGATTGTTCACTGTTGGCATATAGAAATGCAACTGATTTTTGATGTTGCTTTGGTATCCTGCAGCTTTACTGAATTTATTTATCAGTTCTAGTTGTTTTTTGGTGGATTCTTTACATGTTTCTAAATACAAGATTATATCATCTGCAAACAAGGGTAATCTGACTTCTTCCTTTCCAATATGGATGCCCTTTGTTTCTGTTGTCTGTGGCTCTACCTAGGACTTCCAGTACTATGTTGAATAACAGCGGTGAAAGTGGGCATTCTTGCTGTGTTTCAGATTTTAAAGGAAAGGCTTTCAGATTTTCCCCCTTGGTATACTAGCAGTGGGTCTGTAATATGTGGCTCTTATTGTATTGAGATATTTTCCTTCTATAGCCAGTTTTTTGAAGGTTTTTTTTTCTTATCATGAAGGGATGTTGAATTTCATCAAATGCTTTTTCAGCATCAATTGAAACTATCATAGGGTTTTGGTCTTTCATTCTGTTGATTTGATGTATTACATTGATTGATTTTTTTATATTGAACCATCCTGGCATCCCATTTGGTCGTGATGAATGATCTTTTCAATGTGTTATTAAACTCAAGTTTTAGTATTTTTGTTGGAGGATTTTTGCATGAATGTTCATCTGGGATATTGTCCTGCAGTTTTCTTTTTTGGATGTGTCTTTGGTTTTGGTATCAGGGTAATACTGACCTCATAGAATGGGTTTGGAAATATTATTTCCTCCTCTATTTTCTGTAATAATTTGAGTAGGATTGGTATTAGTTTTTCTTTAAATGTGTGGTAAAATTCAGCAGTGAAGCCATCAAGTCCCAGGATTTTGTTTTCAGGGAGACTTTTTCATTATGGCTTCGATCTCATTAGTTGTTATTGGTCTGCTTAGGCTTTGGATTTCTTCATTGTTCAATTTTACTAGGTTGTATGTGTCTAGGAATTTGTCCATTTCTTCTAGATTTTCCAATGTATTAGCATATAGTTGCACATAGGAGTCTCTAATGAGTCTTTGAATTTCCGCAGTATCAGTTGTAATGTGTCCTTTTTTATATCTGATTTTATTTATTTGATTTTTTCTGCTTTTTTTTTGTCAGTCTCGCTATGACTTGTCAATTTTGTTTATCTTTTCAAAAAGCCAACTCTTCTAGTCCATTTTCACACTATGATAAAGATACTACCTGAGACAGGGTAATTTATAAATAAAAGAGGTTTAATTGACTCACAGTTCTACATGGCTGGAGAGGCCTCAGGAAACTTACAGTCATGGCAGAAAGCAAAGCGGAAGCAAGGCATATCTTACATAGTGACAGGAGAGAGTGAGAGAGAGCACAGGGGAAACTGCCACGTTTAAACCATCAGATCTGTGAGAACTCACTCAGCATCACGAGAATCGCATGGGGAAACCAACCTCATGATCCAATCACATCCCACCAGTTCCCTCCCTTGACATGTGGAGATTATAATTCGAGATAAGATTTCAGTGGGGACATAGAGCCAAACCATATCACCAACTTTTTCTTTCATTGATCTTTTGTATTTCTTTTTTTTTTTTTTTTTGATTTCATTTATTTCTGCTCTGGTCTTCATCACTTCTTTTCTTCTGCAAGTTTTGAGTTTTCTTTGCTTTTTTCTAGTTCTTTTTTTTCTCTTGTTAACTCATAATAGCTTTATTCAATAACATAGAATATTTAATACAGAAAAAATGAAGAAAACTACCTCAGAATGACCAATGAGCTCACCACCCGGTTGAACACTTTTAATATTTCAGAAAAAAAATACATGTCAGAAAATTCAAGAGGAAATGCACAGTATGAAAAATGAAAACTTCCCCCTATTTACCTTCCATTAATAATCCCTCTCTGAGAATGATTTTTTTTTACTTTTTATTTTAGGTTCAGAGGACATGTGCAGGTTTGTTACAGAGGTAAACTTGCAGCATGAGGATTTGTTGTACAAGCTGCTTTGTCACCCGTGTACAAATCCTAGTGCCCAATAGTTATTTTTTCTGCTCCTTTTCCTCTTTCCATCCTCCACCCTCAGGTAGGCCCCAGTGTCTGTTGTTCCCCACTTTGTGTGCATGTGTTCTCATCATTTAGCTCAGGCCTGTAAGTGAGAATATGAGGTATTTGGTTTTCTGTTCCTGTGTTTGTTTGCTAAGGTTAAGGGCCTCTAGCTCCGAGATCCATGTTCCTGCAAAGGATATAATATTCTTTTTTATGGCTGCATAGTATTCCCTGGTGTATATGTACTATATTTTTAAAAAAATCCAGCCTACCATTGATGGGCATTTAGGTTGACTCCATGTCTTTGCTATTTTGAATAGTGCTGCAATGAACATTCACATGCATGTCTTTATGGTAGAATGGTTTATATTCCTTTGGTTATATACACAGCAATGGGATTGCTGGATCAAATGATAGTTCTGATTTTAGCTCTTTCTTTTTTTTGCATCCATAAATGGTAATTTTATTTTATTTTTAAATTTTTTTTAAATTTTATTATTATTATACTTTAAGTTTTAGGGTACATGTGCACAACATGCAGGTTTGTTACATATGTATATATGTGCCATGTTGGTGTGCTGCACCCATTAACTCGTCATTTAGCATTAGGTATATCTCCTAATGCTATCCCTCCCCCCTCCCCCGCCCCACAACAGGCCCCAGTGTGTGATGCTCCCCTTCCTGTGTCCATGTGTTCTCATTGTTAAATTCCCACCTATGAGTGAGAATATGCGGTGTTTGGTATTTTGTCCTTGCGATAGTTTGCTGAGAATGATGGTTTCCAGTTTCATCCATGTCCCTACAAAGGACATGAACTCATCATTTTTTATGGCTGCATAGTATTCCATGGTGTATATGTGCCACATTTTCTTAATCTAGTCTATCGTTGTTGGACATTTGGGTTGGTTCCAAGTCTTTGCTATTGTGAATAGTGCCGCTATAAACATACGTGTGCATGTGTCTTTACAGCAGCATGATTTATAATCCTTTGGGTATATACCCAGTAATGGGATGGCTGAGTCAAATGGTATTTCTAGTTCTAGATCCCTGAGGAATCGCCACACTGACTTCCACAATGGTTGAACTAGTTTACAGTCCCACCAACAGTGTAAAAGTGTTCCTATTTCTCCACATCCTCTCCAGCACCTGTTGTTTCCTGACTTTTTAATGATCGCTATTCTAACTGGTGTGAGATGTTATCTCATTGTGGTTTTGATTTGCATTTCTCTGATGGCCAGTGATGATGAGCATTTTTTCATGTGTTTTTTGGCTGCGTAAATGTCTTCTTTTGATAAGTGTCTGTTCATATCCTTCGCCCACTTTTTGATGGGGTTGTTTGTTTTTTTCTTGTAAATTTGTTTGAGTTCATTGTAGATTCTGGTTATTAACCCTTTGTCAGATGAGTAGGTTGCAAAAATTTTCTCCCATTCTGTAGGTTGCCTCTTCACTCTGATGGTAGTTTCTTTTGCTGTGCAGAAGCTCTTCAGTTTAATTAGATCTCATTTGTCAATTTTGGCTTTTATTGCCATTGCTTTTGGTGTTTTAGATATGAAGTCCTTGCCCATGCCTATGTCCTGAATGGTATTGCCTAGGTTTTCTTCTAGGGTTTTTATGGTTTTAGGTCTAACATTTAAGTCTTTAATCCATCTTGAATTAATTTTTGTGTAAGGTGTAAGGAAGGGATCAAGAATCACCACGTTGCTTTCCACAATGGTTGAACTAATTTACACTCCCACCAAGGATGTATAAGCATTTTCTCCACAACTTTGCCAACATCTGCTATTTTTTGACTTTTTAATTTAATAATAGCCATTCTGTCTGCTGTGAGATGGTATCTAATTGCGGTTTTGATATGCATTTCTCTAATCATCAGTGATACTGAGATTTTTTATATGATTATTGGCCATATGTATATCTTCTTTTGAAAAGTGTCTCTTCATGTCAAGATATATCATTAGATTCTTTTTTTCTTGAAGTTTTTGACTTTTTTTTTGATGTAGGTGCTTTTTGCTATAAACTTTCCTCTTCATATAGCTTTTGCTGTATCCCATACATTTTGGTACAGAGTATTTTCATTTTTATTTTTCTCAAAAAAATTTTAAATCCCTTCTTAGTTTCTTTATTGACCCACTGGTCAATCAGGATCATATTGTTTAATTTCTATATATTTGGATAGTTTCCAAGTTTCTCTTGTTGTTATATCTAGTTTTATCCCATTGTGGTCAGAGAAGATACTTGATATGATTGCAATTCTTTCAAATTTGTAAAGACTTGTTTCATGGCCTAACATATGGTCTATCCTTGAGAATCATCCAAGTGCTGAGGAGAAGAATGTGTACGTTGCAGCCAGTGGATAAAATGTTCTGTAATATCTATTAGGTCAATTTAGACTATAGTGCAGATTAAGTCCCATGTTTCCTTGTTGATTTTCTGCCCCAATGATCTTTCCAGTGCTGAAAGTATGGGATTGATATCTCAAGCTGTTATTGTTTTGGGGTCTATCTTTCTCTTAAGCTTTAATTATATTTGCTTTATTTATCTGAGTGCTCTAGTGTTGGGTGCATATGTATATTCATAATTGTTATACTCCCTTGCTGAATTGACCTTTTTATCATTACATAATAATCTTCTTTGTCTCTTTTTATAGTTTTGTCATTATATAATAAACTTCTTTGTCTCTTTTTATAGTTATCGTTTTGAAATCCATTCTCTCTGATGTAATTACAGCTACTCCTGCTCTTTTTTGTTTTCCTTTGGCATGGAATATATTTTTCCATTCATTTATTTTTGGTCTATGTGTGTCTTTCTAGGTGAAGTGTGTTTCTTGTAGGTAACAGATTGTTGGATGTTTTTGTTTTTAACCAAATTCAGCCTCTCTCTCTGTCTTTTTACATTTTTATTTCAACAGTTTTTGGGGAACAGGTAGTTTTTGATTACATGGAAAAGTTTTTTAGGGGTAATTTCTGAGATTTCGGTGCACTGTCACTCGAGCAGTGTACTCTGTATCCAATGTGTAGTCTTTTATCCCTCATCCACCTTCCACCCTTCCTGCTGAGTCCCCAAAGTCCATTATTTTATTCTTACGCTTTTGCATCCCCATAGCTTAGCTCCCACTTATAAGTGAGAACATACAATGTTTGGTTTTTCATTCCTGAGTTACCTCACTTAGAATAATAGTCTCCAACTCCATCTAGGTTGCTATGAATGCCATTATTTCCTTCCTTTTTATGGCTGAGTAGCATTCCATGGAGTATATATACCACATTTTCTTTATCGACTTGGTTGATGCACATTTAGGCTGGTTCTGTATTTTTACAGTTGTGAATTATGCTGTTATAAACATGAAGTACAAGTGTCTTGTCTTTTTCATTTAATGACTTATTTTCCTTTGGGTAGATACCCAGTAGTGAGATTGCTGGATTGAATGGTAGTTCTAATTTTAGTTCTTTAAGAAACATCCATACAGTTTTCTGTAGTGATTGTAGTAGTTTCCATTTCTATCAGCAGTGTAAAATGGCTCCCTTTCCACTGCATCCACTCCAATATCTTTTTTTTAAATTTTTAAATTATGGAGTAATGTGGTATCTCATTGTGGTTTTGATTTGCATTTTCCTAATAATTAGTGACATTGATCATTTGTGCATATGTTTGTTGGCCATTTATATATCTTCTTTTGAGAATTTTTTATTTACGTCCTTTGCCCACTTTTTGATGGGATTTTTTTTTTTCTTGCTGATTTGTTTGAATTCCTTGTGGATTCTGGATATTAGTCCTTTGTTAGATGCATACTTTGCAGATATTTTCTCCCACTTTGTGGGTTGTCTGTTTACTCTGCTGATAATTTCTTCTATTGTGCAGAAGCTTTTAGGTTAATTACATCCCATTTATTTATTTTTGTATTTGTCACATTTGCTTTTGGTTCTTGTTCATAAACTCCTTGCTTAAGCCAATGTCTAGAATAGTTATTCTTATGTTATCTTCTGGAATTTTTACAGTTTCAGGTCTTAAATTTAAGTCTTTGATCCATCTTCAGTTGATTTTTGTATAAGGTGAGAGATGAAGATCCAGTTTCATTCTCCTACATGTGGCTTGCCAGTTATCCCAGCACCATTTGTTGATTAGGGTGTCTTTCCCCACTTTGTGTTTTTGTTTGCTTTGTTGAAGATCAGTTGGCTATAAGTATTTGGCTTTATTTCTGGTTTCTCTATCCTGTTCCATTTGGTCTATGTGTTTATTTTTATGCTAGCACCATGATGTTTTGTTAACTATAGCCTTGTAATATAGCTTGAAGTGAGGTAATGTGATATATCCAGGTTTGTTCTTTTTGCTTAGTCTTGCTTTAGCTATGTGGGCTCTTTTTTGGTTCCATATGAATTTTGGGATTGTTTTTTCTAGTTTTGTGAGAAATGATGATGGCATTTTGATGAGAATTGCATTGAATCTGTAGATTGCTTTTTGCAGTATCATCATTGTATTAGTCAGGGCTCCCAAGAGGGACAGAACTGATAGGAGATATATATATATATATAGATATATATATATATATATATATAGATATATATATATCCCGTTATATATCATATAATGATATATATATATATCCCGTTATATATCATATAATGATATATATATCCCGTTATATATCATATAATGATATATATATCCCGTTATATATCATATAATGATATATATATATCCCGTTATATATCATATAATGATATATATATATCCCGTTATATATCATATAATGATATATATATCCCATTATATATTATATAATGATATATGTGTGTGTGTGTATGTGTGTGTATTTACTAATACCTATGAGTTTTCTACCTCAAATGATTTCTTATTGCTTGTTAACATCCTTTTCTTTCAGACTGAAGAACTCTCCTTAGAATTTCTTGTAGGACAGATCTGGTGTTAATGATTATCTATCTATCTATCTATCTAGATATATAGTTTTGTCATTAATTTAAAATAATGGGTTATAAGATGTTACTTACCTCAAATGATGCACCCGCTTCAGCCTCCCAAAGTGCTGGCATTTCAGGTAAGTACCACCACGCCTGGCTAATTTTTTATTTTTAGTAGAGGTGTGGTTTCACCATGTTGGTCAGGCCGGGCATGGTGGCTCACGCCTGTAATTTCAGCACTTTGGGAAGCCAAGGTGGACAGATCATTTGAGGTAAGTAACATCTTACAGTGCATTATTTTAAATTAATGACAAAACTGATTGCAAAAACACACTAATGAACAAACAAAAATAAAATTAATAAAATCTCTACACTTTAATTTCCTCTCCCCCACTTTTTAACTTTTTGTTGTTTCTGTTTATATCTTGTTATACTGTCTATGTTTTCAAATTGTTGTAGTTATTATTTTTGATATGCTCATTTTTAGTCTTTCTACTCAATGTGTGAGTAGATTGTACTCTAGTTACAGTGTTATAATATTCTATGTTTGTCTGCATATTTACTAGTACCTATGATTTTTGTACCTCAGATGATTTCTTATTGCTTGTTAACATCCTTTTCTTTCAGACTGAAGAACTCTCTTTAGTATTTCTTGTAGGACAGGTCTGGTGTTAATGAAATACCTCAGTTTTTGTTTTTCTGGAGAAATCTTTATTTCTTCTTCATGTTTGAGGGATAGTTTTGCTGGATATACTATCCTAGGATAAAAGTTTTTTTTTTTTTTTTTCTTTTAGCATTTTAAATATGTCATTCCACTCTCTCCTGGCCTGGAAGGTTTCCACTGAGAAGTCTGCTGCCAGATGTATTTCAGCTCCTTTGTATGTTACTTGTTTATTTTCTCTTGCTGCTTTTAGATCCTTCCTTTGTCCTTGACCTTTGGGAGTTTGCTTATTAACTACTTTGAGGTAGTCTTATTTGAATTAAATCTGCTTGGTGTTTTATAAACCTCCTGTACTTGAATATTGATATCTTTCTCTAGGTTTGGGAAGTTCTCTGTTATTATTTGAATATTTTTATATATGCTGTCGTATATATTATACGGCTTTTTCCTGATCCTAGTCTTTAGCAAAATTTCTTTTTTCTTAATTGTCAGTTTTTATTTTTAATAAACTATAAGCTCTGTGAGGACATGAACCATGCCAGGCTTGGTGAATAATAATGACTATTAAAAAATTATTTCAATCTCTGTTAAATTTATCTGATGGGATTCTGAATTTCTTCTCTGTGATATCTTGAATTTTGCTGAGCTTCCTCAAAGCAGCTATTTTGAATTCTTTTTATGAAAGGTCACACATCTGTCACTCTAGGATTGGGCACTGGTACCTTATTTGGTTTGTTTGATGAGGTAATGTGTTACTGGATGGTCTTAATTCTTGTGGACATTTGTTAATGTCTGGGCATTGAAGAGTTAGGTATTCATTATTGTCTTTGCAGTCTGGGCTTTTTATATCCATTCTTCCTGGGAAAAATTTCTAATTATTCAAAGGGAATTGAATGTTGTGATCTAAATCTTTGGTCATTGCAGCCATATCTACATTTGGGGCATCCCATACCCAGCAACACTGTGATATTTGTCAACTCATAGAGGTATTTCCTTGGTTGTCTTGGCTAAGATCTGGGAGAAGTCCCTAGATTACCAGGAAGAAACCCTTGTTCTCTTCCCTTAGTTTCTGCCAATGAAACAGATTCTCTCTCTGCTGAGCTGCCTGGAACTAGTGGAAAGGTGACACAAACACCCCCATTGGCCACCAACACTGGGATTGCATGAGGTGATATCCAAAGCCAGCACTGCAGTGGGTCTTGGCCAAGGCCTGTAATGACCCCTTGTTGGGCACCACCTTGGTTCACTCAAGGCTCAAGCACTCTTCATTCAGCAGGTAATAAATCCTGCCAGGCTTGTGTCCTATCCTTCAGCATGATGAACTCTGACTGGCCCAGAGCAGGTCCTGGAATGTTGTCCAGGATCCAGTGCCTAGAGTTGGGAACATTAGGAATCTACTTGGTGCTCTGTTCTACTGCAGCTGAGCTGGCACCCTAACTGCAAGACAAGTCCTACCCACTCTTCTTCCCTCTCCTTTCCTCATGCAGAAAGAGTCTCACTCCATGGCCACTACTGCTACAGGTTTATGGCACTTACTACTCGACTACCACTGATGTCCACTTAAGGCCTAAGGGCTCTTCAGACATTCTGGTGAATGCTGCCAGGCCTGAGTCTCCCCCTTCAGGGAAGTGGACTCCCATCTGGCCCAGGGTAGGTCCAGAAATGCCATCCAGGACCCAAGCCTGGAATTGGGAATCCCAGGAGCCTGGCTGGTGCTCTATACCCCGTGGCTGTGCTGGTGCCCAAGCTGCAGAGCAAAGTCCCCTTTACTCTTCCCTCTCCTTTCCTCAAACAGAATGCATCTCTCCCTTTGGCTATCATAGCTGATAATGATGCACTGGATCATACCTGAATCCAGCATTATCCTGAGTCTCACCCAAGGCCTGTGGTGATAACTGCCTGGGTACCACTGATATTTACTCATGGTCCAAGGGCTCTTTAGTCAGCAGGTGATGAATCCTGCCAGGACTTGGTCCTTCTTTTCAAGGCAGTGGGTTCCCTTCTGACCCAGGGTATGTCTAGAAATGTCAGTGAGGAGCTAGAGCCTGGAAGAGGAGCCTTAGGACTCTGCCTGGTGCTCTATTCTACTGTAGCTGAAATGGTACCAAGTTATAAGGCAAAGTCCTCTTTATACTTCCTTCTCTCCTCAAGCAGAGGAAAGAAATGCCTCCCAGAGCTGTGGTCTGTGCTGCCTGGGGTTGGGGGAGGAGTGATGCAAGCACTTGCTTGGCCACCCCACCTGGTGTCTCACTAGGTCATGTGTACTCCAAGTCCACTGTCTCTGAGCCCAGCATAGCACCAGGACTTGCCCAGGAATTGCAGTCCTTGTGGCCTTGATACGTTTCAAGAGCGTGTTAGCCTGCATTGCTGGGGCTAGTCAGAACTTGGGTTCTGACCCCTGAGGTGGGTGATGCACCTGCAGCTAGGGTTGGTTTAAATGCTCCCTCCATGAGCACTGGCTGAATTCTGCCCCATATTGGTTTCTGCTGTGACAGAGCAGCACTGAGTTCCAATGCAATGCTTCACAATAACTGTGCTCTCTCTCCCCCAAGCACACAAATTCTCTCTCTGCACTGTGTGGCCCCTCCGGAGGGATGGTGAGGGGGTTGGTGTCAGCAATTTAAGACTGTTTTCAACCATCTTTAGTGCCTCTTAACTTGATATGATGTTAAAACCAGGTAGTGTAATTGCTTATTTTAGTTTTGGTTATTATGAAGATGCTTTCTCGTGTGGATAGTTATTCAGTCTGGTGTTCCTGCAGGGGAGGTGATGGTCAGAGGCTTCTATTTGATCATCTTGCTCTACCTCCTTATGCATCTATGTTTTTTACGTTAAAATATCTGAAAGGTAGTTTTATAGCTTAATTTAGACCCTCATGTCTTTGTGGGAAATCAGTGACCTGGAAAATGTTTAGAAACTGTGCTTATGTGCACTGGCTAAGTATATAAAAAGCAGCCTATCCAAATATTTATTTAGTTTCACTGCTTTTGGGCTTTTCTCTCTCCTACCTATTTGGTGAAGCAAGTGAAATTATGTGTGTGCACAAGCATTTGTTCATTAACTTAGTCATTTGTTCATTCAATAAATATTTTCTATATTTACAATAAATACTATGTTAGGCTCTGTTCTGAGGGGTACTAGGTACCTAATCATAAGGGCTAATTTTTATTTGCTGCATACAATGTATGACACTTTGCTGAGTGTATTACATGTATAATTATCTTTCACAAAAAATCTGTAAAGTAAATACTATTTTCCCCATTTTTATAAGGAGAAAGAGAGTTAGAGATTGTATGGAAATAGAAAAATGGTAAATCTGGTCTTGGTAACTGGAAACCAGGTCTTGATGTCATCACTGGATCAAGCTTCATCTAAACTGAGTTCAACTGCTGGAAATTTTAGTTATATTGGGCCAACAAGTCCCTTTTATCATTTGAACCAGTTTGAATGGGATTTAATGCCACCAAACCAAAGCATTATAACTGATACCCTTCAAATTCTATGTCATCCTGCTTCAAGTATAACCAAAGCTATATTATATTGCTTCACATTTCACGAAGCCTGACATGGTTCATGTCCTCATGGAGCTTATAGTTTATTAAATAAAAAACTGACAAATAAGAAAAAAGATTGTTGAAGACTAGGATCAGGAAAGAGAAAGATAATGTATATGACAGTACATATAAAAACTATTCAAATTGGTATAAAATGAGGTGGCCCACTAGGAGGTGAACAAGAATAGGCAAACACAGATTTTATACATCTCCAGTTTTTATCATCATTTTTTCCTCTTTCCTTTCCATCTTGTCATTTTGTTGAAAATTTCTATGACATTTAATTAAAATGAAAAGTTAAGGGAAAGCCCATCTTCCTAATTTTCCAAATTGTAAACCATTCTTGTCCCATCCTTGTTGAAGGAGCCCTTTATTCAACTAGCATGCACAGCTCATGTAAAAATTAAATAAACAACACATTTTCATACTTTTTTTTTTGTTTTTTGAGATGGAGTCTCACTCCGTTGCCCAGGCTGGAGTGCAGTGATGCAATCTTGTTTCGCCACAACCTCTGCCTCCTGGGTTCAAGTGATTCTCGTGTCTCAGCCTCCCGAGTAGCTGGGATTACAGGCACCTACAACCATACCCAGCTAATTTTTGTATTTTAGTAGAGATGGGATTTCCCCATGTTGGCCAGGCTGGTTTAGAACTCCTGACCTCAGATGATCTGCCCGCCTCGGCCTCCCAAAGTGATGGGATTGCAGGTGTAAGCCACCGCACCCAGCCTCACTTTTCCATACTTCTGCTAAGCAGAGAAACTATTGGACTTCTGACTTGAGAAGCCCTTGGGAAATGAGCCCTTGTGGTATCCAAGGAGACAGTAAAATTTTTCCAAAAGCTTCTTACCATAGCTATTACCACATTCTGTAGGTGCTCAGATTATTTATGGTTTTCCCTCTAATTCCGTAATCTCTACCCATTTAACTTACTTTTTATTTTGCTACACTCCTTTCCTTACATTAGTCAAATAAAGATATTCAAAACATGCTCATCTTTTTAATATTAATAGCTATCATTTATCAAATTAAAGGGCATTTTATGGTTCAGGCACTATCTAAGTACCTTAAATGCAATAACTCATCATAACAGTCTTACAAAGCACATCATTAGCCCTATTTTATAAATAAAAGACCCAAAGGATTATGTTCTGATTGTTTTAGGTGTTGGATCTGAGAATTGAATGCAAAGTCCAGCTCCAGAGTGTACATTCCCAGCATTACTCACTTTATTTAGATCTCATGTATCTAGATATTAAGGAGAATTATCCTTGTTCAGTTTAAACAAAATCAACAAAACGTGTCTTTGTTTTCAGTCCACTTTCACAAAAATTTGTATCTGATCTATGATTTTTTAATTATTTACTCGGATATCATATGCTGTCTAATTTTCCTTTAATTTATTCTTCTTTTTAAGATGACAACTCTTAGTGTTATGATGTAAAAAATTAATCCTGGTATACATTTTCCATGAACTAAAATTGCTCGATATAGAGAAATCTTCCATATGAGATTGACTTCCCCTTCCACTTTTAGACTGAAGGTATTTATTTCCTTTCTACTGGTCCTCTGTAGTGTTCTATGTTCTTAAACCTGAACCTTCTTTACTTAAGTTAGAAATGTTTCTAGCCTATTCACTTCTCTTCCTCCTACCTCTGATGCACAGAAATCCTGCTGCCATTGTTCTGGCCTGATACAGGGAAAGGGAAGAACTTATTGCCATATCTGTAGGGCTGGATTTGTTGAGACTGTTTCTAGCATCTCGAGTTGGAATTCAAATTCTTCACTTAAATGATGTTATATTATTGAGTCTTAACAATCATTTCTCAAAGCATGGATTCCTGCATCAGAATCACCAAGGGTGCTTATTAAGGAAGCAGGTTCATAGGCCTCACCCCAGATCTACTCAGTTAAAATCTCTATGGATGTTGTTCCTAAATCTACATTTTTAAGAAGATAAATATAAAACCCAGTGTTTCCATTCCTTCCTAGAATTTAAGAATAGCTTCAGCAGAAGGGGAGTTTTGTAGATTATCCTGAGAACTTGTGTAGTATTAAGTAGTTTAAAGTTAGGAGTTGGTTATTTAAAATCCCCCACTGCCTTATTAAAAGTTGAATTCTGGTAGCTGGATAATTCTTTGTTTGCTGAGAAAAATGATGGATATGGAAATGTTAGTTTTGGAGATAGAAGCTGGTGCTACATTTAATTATCCTTCTGATACAGGGCATATATTGGGGTGTGAAGTAGGCAGGGAAAGAGGGAAAGGAAGATAATTCTCCAAGAGGAAAGAGAGTAGGTGGCCGGTCTCTGTGTTATTGAGGGTAGCAAAGAATGACTGCTTGATGGAACAGCCGAAGAGATTCGGGGGACTGGGGAGAGGCTGTTGCAAAAGGGTACTTTCAAGTGAAATGCTGCATGTTACAGTATGAATAATTGCTTTGACCCCATCAATATTCAGAAAAAGTATAAAGCCCATAATTCACTTGAAGAGGTAAGCTCTTTTGAGAAAGCTGATGATGGTGTAAGATTCCTTCCAGGTTGTTACAGGTCAAAACAGAGTCCACCTGCGTATGCGAGTTGGCAGCTGTACATCCTGGGGGATGATCAATATATAGAAGCTATGAGAATATTTCATACACCTACCAACCCTTCCAGATCTCCAAGCTATCTGTATTGTTTTGTATTTTAAGGGTGGGGAATGAGGAGAAGGAGATAATGGCCTGGACTAGAAGGTATAAAAGGATTGAGATGGAGACAACTGAACAGAAATTGGGAGCTATGGTCAAAATTCTGGTGGGAAGAAGAGGTGTTTATTGTGTCAGGTAGAAGCAGAGACAAGATTGAATTCGGTAAGATTTCATTCATGTTAAATTAAAGACATGTCAATTTAGTTTTGGTTTCTGCAGAGGATAACAACTGTAAAATGAAAGATGGAACTAATAATAGTTGGACCAAAGAAACGGATACAAACTGGACTGGCTGCTGGTGTGAGCAGACCAAGATGTAAGCTCAGCCTGCTTCTGCAAGACAGCTGACTTCTGGTTCTCTCTTTGTCCTCTAGGACTCTTTCTTCAGAGTGCCCACAGTCTTTTTTTTCCTATTTTTCATTCATATTTTATATTCTTCAGCCTTCTATGAGGTTCTCTTTTCTTTTTACATCCAGCCAGTTCTCAGTCAGGTCAGTTCCACCACTTTATTACCTCCTTCTACTCTCTTATCTCCATTCCTTCTGTAGATAAAGACCTACTCATTGCCCACTTGGGTTACTAAAATAGGTCCTAACAGATTCCCTTCTCTCCAGTCTAGTCCTTCTTTCTCTCCACTGGATGGTGTCTGATCATTGCATGCACAATTGTCTTAATGTCAATTTGCTGCGTAAAGTCGATCAATGGCTTCCCACTCATTTCAATTAAGTAACAAACTTCTTAGCATGACATAAAGGGCTTTTCATAAGTCACTCTTCTAACCTCTCCAACAGCAATTTTAGTCTTCTCCCTAAATGCAATCCTCTAACTTCCCACATCTGCATCATATTCTCTCCACCTCTCAGCCTTTGTGCATGTTCTCCTGGCTGGTTGTAAACACACCCCCTTCTCCATCATTCAACAGGAGAACCCCTAGCCTCATATTTTGGGTTCTTTTGCCTTTTTGGCAAACCAACAGGAGATTCTAAGAAATGTGTTAAGTTCTAACTCTGTGAGATTCTATTGGCATGTTTATGGGAAGCTAGTCTTATATTATAATAACTATTGATTACTGTTAACATTAAGTTTGTTAATTAATCATTAACCAATACAGTGTGCTCAGCATTGAGTTAGGCCTTGGAGAAAAAGATGAGCAAGAGATAGCTTCTGCCTTTGTGGAAATCACAGTAGAAAGGGGTGATGAATATGACTAAAAGCCACGCAACATGATAGGGGCTACAACAGGGCTCTAAAATCACGCAGGAGGAAATGGCCAGGTTTCCTAGGGAGTTGGATATGACTTCACAAGCACTTATACCCCTTAGACAAGCCCTTATACCCCACTATATTAGTTAGGGTTCTTTTAGAGGGACAGAACTAGTTGTGTGTGTATACACACACACACACACACACACACACATATTGGAGTTTAAATATTAACTTACACGATCACAAGTTTATTAACTTACACGATCACAAGTACTATTCATATATGTATATATACTAATAGTATATTGTATATATATGGGAGTTTATTAAGTATTAACTTACATGATCACAAGAGCTATTAGTATATTTACATACACTGATAGTATATATATATATACACACTAATAGTATATATATACTCATAGTATAGATATATACACTAATAGTATATATATACTCATAGTATAGATATATACACTAATAGTATATATATACTCATAGTATAGATATATACACTAATAGTATATATATACTCATTATATATATATAGAGAGAGAGTTTATTAAGTATTAACTTACATGATCACAAGTTCCCACAATAGGCTGTCGGCAAGCTGAGGAGCAAGGAGAGCCAATTTGAGTCCCAAAACTGAAGAATGTGGAGTCCGATGTTCCAGGGCAAGAAGTATCCAGCACGGGAGAAAGATGTAGGCTGGCAGGATAGGCCCGTCTGTCCTTTTCACGTTTTTTCTGCCTGCTTCATATTTTCTGGCAGCTGATTAGATGGTGCCCACCAGATTAAGGGTGGGTCTGCCTTCCCCAGCCCACTGACTCAAATGTTAATCTCTTTTGGCAACACCCTCACAGACACACCCAGGATCAATACTTGGATTCCTCAATCCAGTCAAGTTGACACTCAAGTTAACCATCACACCTGCCTTAAAAAACTAGTAGGGTTTGTCAGGCAGAGAAGGAAGAAAGGAAACTTCAGGCAAAGGGAATTAGCATATTGTAAAAATCAGCCTTAATATTATTATTTTATTTTTGAATGCTGCTGCTAACACTGTTGTTTCAACTTTCTCACCATTATTAGCAAGCCCTTAACTTGACTTAATGGGAGTGGTGTTTGTTCATTTTTACTAGACACATTTACTCATTTCATGGCTGGTGTTGTGTTGGTTTATATTCACTGCCTGCTGGTCCCTCTTTACTTTCTGTGTGGTCACACACAATTTTGAAAGTCTTTTCATGAGCAGTGGTCTATACAAGTTTCAATCAGCAAAATCACAGCTCTATTAAACCTTGCTGATTCTAGTTTGTCACCATGAAAAGCTTCTTGCTTCCTTTGTAGATGTAAATGTATATAACATTCAGTGCTTGTGGTTTTATTTGGAGTGTTTGGATATATTTACATTTTTGCTTAGGAAAGCATCTTTCTGAACTGTGACTACAAACTGTGAATTCCACTAGGAAACAGGTCTTCAGAATATTGGCAAGGCTCTCATATTCACTGTTATCTCTATTTAAATATCTTTGGGATTTGTCTGTGGAACACATATGTTCTTATTAATTGATTACACATTAATAAAAATGATAACAAGTTAACAGTTACAGATACTTTTTCAGTGGAAGTGCTAGCATGATAAAACAGGCTCAGTGAAACTTCTGTTCCATTGGATTCTACTTAACTGAACATGAAGAAACAGTTTAGTTACTCTAGTTTAAAAATAAGGGAATTTCATAATGGTCTATTTAAACTGTCTGCAAAAGAAGTTACAGTGATTTTTCTGGCATTCTCTCCCTCGTAACCTCCTTCCACACTCATTTTGTCTTTATGTCAGCCTATTTGGTTTAGTTTTTTTCAACTATAATAATAATTACCATTATTATAGACACTTATATTTGCTACTTATATATGAATCCAAATAGTCTAGTCTGAGGGATGGTGATCTTAATTACTGTGTTAAACTACACAGTATTAAATATTCTTTATGTTCACAATACCTATTGCAGGAGTTTAGTTTATTAGATGGCACAGAGAACCCCAGTTCACTCAAAATGTACCTTATCTTAAACTGGACTTGAGGAGCTGGGTCACTGGAAGTGGTAGGAGTAAGAATACAGGACTTGTCACTTTTGGTAATAGCCATGTCTGTATTTCTACTACCAATCTCAAATGTATGTTATCACATAATTCAATAATTATGGCTGAATAAGTGAGTGAGTAAATGAATAGTTAACATTGCACGGGACATAAGGTCCTCCAGTCATTTATGTCATTGATAAGTAGCTTTTTCAGGTGACTCTTGGAAGTAAGCAAACTCACTACACTAGTAACTCCTTGCATTGCCAATATTAGGCAGTCCCAAGAGAGCTGAGATGGAAGAACAGGAAATAGGAGAAGCATGCAGTTATCACAGTTATATTTCTTCAAGTTGATAAAATGGAATCATTATTTTTGTAATGAGCTCTATGCTTAGATTTCTATCTTTCTTTTAAGTGGTTTATTTCCAATAATTTTCTTTTCTTTAAGTTTAGGGACACAGTAGTCTTTCAAGAAGAATTATTTCAGTTCAACTTTAGAGTTAAAAGACACAGGACAAGGGAGCTAATCTCAAGTCTTTGATGATGAATTTAGAGGTGAAATCAGACTACCTGCCTACTCTCTTCCTGCAGTTGAGCAACTCACCATGACCAGAGGAAAACACACAACTGACTTAATCTCATTTTAAAACTATGACAATAAGCCTCATTTAGACATACAGTGCTGCTTGATAATCCTATTACACTTTCCTAGCATAGTAATCTTCTTACTTTCTAAAATGACCATTTTACCCTTTCTCGTGTTTGATAAGTCCCCTAAAATTACTCCTCATTCTCAGCTGATCATTGTCCTCGAATTTAGTTTGAAATTAGTGGTAAATAGGAACTTTCTCATCTTCCTACCACTAGATCTACTTACCTACTATGTTTGTCAATCCATGCCCATGGTCATCTTCCTGTTGAAGGCCAATTCTTCTACTTCGGATCTGAATTCTAGGCTTCCTGCCTTCTCAAGGACTTTGCTTCTGCAATAGTTCCCCTCTCTATTCGTCATAGAGATTCTTTCTCCTCTAGAGGAATTTCAATCAGCATATGAATATGCGATAACATTTCCTAGTCCAGACAAGAAACACGTGCTTGACACACATCTGTCTCAAGCTGCAGCCCCATTTCTCTGATCATTTTTATAGTTTTGTAGTTATCTATAACTGCTATCTCTAGCTTTCTCACCACACTTTCTCTCCTCAAACTCCTCCTCCACATATGTAAATCTAACAGTCACATCTCTGTCCTATTTTACTTGAACACTAAGCAGCATTCAAGACAGTTGGTCACCCTCTCCTTTTTAAGGCAATATTCAATCGGTATAGCAGTTAGCTATTGCTTCATAACGCATCACCCTAAAACTCAGTGGCTTAAAATGTTTATTATTGCTCATGAGTCTATGAGTTTTCCGGGTGGCTCATACGATGTCCTCTTTGCTCATGCCTGCATTCATGGTCGGTGGCAGGTAATGTGGCTGTGCTGATTTAGGCTGGACTCTGACATGTTGGGGGTTGGCTAGACCTAGAATGGCCTCAGCTGGGATATTTCAAAGGTGGCAGCTTTCTGCACACTCTGGCCAACTCTCTTCTACTAGCTCTATCCATCTAGAAAGTAATGGCTGTGATGCATTGATGACAATTCCTGACTTTGTGTGTATTTGTGTGCTAACATCGAGAATAAAAACCGAAATCCTTGCATTCCTTTGCAAGCCTGTAAATTGCATGGTTTTGTTTTTAAGTGCAATGGAAATGAGTAAGAACTCAATGGAATAATTTTTCATTTTGTAGTTTCTGATTGTGCAAAGGATCAAAACAAGGGTAAAGACCAATTAAAAACATGCTAACACTATTCTATTTCTGTGTGAAGATCTATCGGAACAGAAAAAGCCTTTTAGTATAAGTATACGTACAAAAAAGTCAACTTTTTTTCTGTGACTGAGAAAGCTCTCACAGATAAGTGAGCTAGCTCTGAAATACATAAAACCTTTTCATATGTAAATAAAGTAAAACCTGGCAGCTCTACCATCTGTGAAGGTGTGAGAGTTCTTAGAAAATGACTCATTCAGTTAGGCAAAGATGTGAAACCATATTTGAATGTAAAAATATGCAAACTACACAGAATCTAGGATATTGGGGGCAGCAACAGCACATACTCTTAACAATACAGTGTTTAGAATAAACGTGAGATTGTTGAGAAATTGACAAATACTACAGTAGTGAATGAAAAAACTAAAAGTAATAAATACTGCTTTTGAAAAATTGGTCTGACTTAGTATGTAAAAATAAGTGTTAAAGGGCCTACAGAGATCATTTATTTCAACACCATTTTCAGATTACAGCACTAAAAAAGAATCGTAGGCCCAGAGAGGTTGAGTGAGTTGCCAATAGGACATAGAAAGCTTGTGGCGCTGGCAGGACTGGATGTACAGTGTGCTGATGCCTAAGTCTCATCTCTTTCTTCTAGACCTGGCTCCTCTTTACTTCTGAGAAAAATCCTCTACTGACTTTAATGTGTTTCTATAGTATTTAGGGCCTAAAAGATATCCTTTCTCTTGTGCTGGCTCAGGAATTTATTATTAACTTGAGTGTTCCATATAACATATTCAAGCTTTCACATCCAGAAAACTGGCGTCTTGATGGTTTTCATGAGACAAGACAGAAAACTGCATCTTATGATATAAGGCAAATCACAATGCTATCTTTTTCAGAATTATCTTTTCACGTGATAACTCCCAAAATGTGCAATTTTACTCATTATTTTATTTATCTAAGCTTTGCAGAATAGAGTAATTGAATTCTCCAAATCTGTGTTGAGTAGAAATCCTCCAACACTGTCCTAATGTCAGGGAGACACAACTTTAATTGATGCCTTCTCCTCCACCCCCCTCAAAAAATGGGAGCCAGTGTTCCTAGGAATATTTGATATCTTTCTCTTCTTTAATTGGCAATCAGTTCTCATTCTAATAAATGGGGAAATATACCACATAAAACCAATCAACTGGTTTGGTTTTCCTTGCCCCCAAAGTTGGGAAAATGGAGAAACAAATAGAATTCAAATTTTGCTCCATTTACCTAACATGCATATAAAATTGACTATTTCCGAGGTACTAAGATATGTGGTAAAATTTTAACTTTTTCTCCTAAAAAGAAACAATGATACTAGTGATCTAAAACAGGGGTCCCCAGTGCCTGGGCCACAGACTGGTACCTGTCTGTGGCTTGTTAGGAACCGGGCCACACAGCAGAAGGTGAGTGGTAGTTGAGCAAGCATTACCACCTGAGCATGGCCTCCTGTCAAATCAGCAGCGGCATTAGATTATCATAGGAGCGCGAATCCTATTGTGAACTGCACATGTGAGGGATTTAGGTTGCATGTCCCTTATGAGACTCTAATGCCTGATGATCTGAGGTGGAACAATTTCATCCCAAAACTATCTTACCCCACTACCCCTCCATTCTTGGAAAAATTGTCTTCCACGAAACTGGTCCCTGGTGCTAAAAAGGTTGGGGACCACTGATCTAAAACAATGATCAATTAAAACCATTTCAGTTTATGATTTTAATTCCAGTCTAAACAAAAGTTAATTATTGTTACCAAACTATACATATAATCAGAGATTCATATAATTGAAGATTATATGAATAGTTTGGTGACAATAATTAACTTTTGTTTAGACTGGAATTAAAATTTGTCTGCATATATTACTGGAAAATCAAAGACTTTATAGCACCCATGCTTCTTACTAATGCAAATATAGGAGCTGTGCAGGTAAGCAGTTTGGTAAGAAGTAAAGGGTGTGAACATTGGAGTCACATTGCCCAGTTCAAAGCTCAGTGCTGCCACTGTTATCCAAACAACTCCAGATAAGTTCCTTCATCTTTGCATCTCATTTTGTAAAACAAGAGCACTAATACTGCTTACAAGGTAGGATTGAGATGATATATACATTGCACTAACAAAATACTTAGTATTTAACAAGAGTTTAGCTTAGCTGTAACTAGGAGACTGGGCTAGTGGCACACTAACCTAGTATATCTCCTGGGAGTTTTCTTTGTATTTCTTTTTTTTTTTTTTCAAAGCTCCAAAATCTATGTTATTAGCTTATTTATCATTTACTTTTTTCTTTTAAAAATAATATCTGTTTAGTTGAGGTCAGACAGACAGAATGATTATAAACCCCATCTATGTTTAAAAGTGGCTATATAACCCATCATTCTTTGTCTCTATCTCTCTGTTTTACTGGTTTCCCATTGATTACTGAATTAAATAAGACCCTTGACATGTTCATTTTTAGATCTGTTGAAGAGTCATAATTATATCTTGCTTAAAGATTATCTTTTAGCAAATTACCATTTAATACAATTAAGAGCACATTTTCTAAATCGATGAAAAGGAGAAGAAATAAAAAACCCATGCCCACTAAAAAGCTGTCATGACCATGTTTTTCTTTCAAGTGTTAAAAAACATGTTACTATTTTGCATTCTTGACTTACTCCAAGTTAAGTGACAAGGTCATAATTATTACTAGAAAAGATATAGCAACAGTTGTATTTTGTTTTGTTTAATTCAGTGCCGATGTATGAGTTATGTCACATTTCCTGTAAATGTAAATTTAAGGTTCTCATTTCAAATTTCTCAACATAAAAATACGAAGCCATAAGCAACCAGGTGGCACTCACACACCTTTTTTTTTCTTGAAAACTGTGATGTACATTTAGTTGGTGGCTCTGTAGTTCACATGGATTTCTGGTTTCATGTCACAGACCATGCTCAAGAGCTGGTTCATCACACTTTCCATATACTTATTGTAGTGTCCATTAAGTTCTTGTATCTTCCCTAGTGTTTGTTCTTCTATTTCATCTGAGAGATTATTCTGAGAGCCCATTATCTACCAAAACAAAACAGACAGAATTCACATCATAATACAATTGTTTTACAAGTTAAATTTGTCCTAGCCTGTTTACTGATGATTGTCCTACAATGCACAATTATGTACTCCTTTTCTAGATTTTTTCAGAGAACCAACAAGATCATCAATGCCATGAGTGGGAAGGATGAACTTTCATAAAATATTGAAACTGGTCATAGCAGATTACTTTCACTTTTAACCAACCTCCACATGGTACAAATTGAATACACATTTATAATCATTAAACCATGCCCAGAAGTTCTTTTCCATCACATTTTTCATGTATTTATGACAGTTTCCATTTAGTTCCCATATATTCCCTATTGTTTATTTTCTGAATTATAAGTCTGGAAAACAGAGTTGAAAGACACCATTAAACCCACTTTTGCTGTTTTTTAAAGAGTGTTTAAAAGTTTTAAACAGTTGCTGGTTTTTAAAGAGTGTTTTTCTATTTTTAAAATACATTATCTGAACTGTATCTTGCTTTTATCAGGAAGACAGTCACAATGTGCGCTCTAAGATACTTTTATATGCACAATTTTTTTTTTTTTTTTTTTAGATGGGTTCTCACTGTGTCGCCCAGGCTGGAGTGCAATAGCGTAGTCTTGGCTCACTGCAACCTTCGCCTCCCAGGTTCAAGCGATTCTCCCACCTCAGCCTCACAAGTAGCTGGGACTACAGGCGTGTGCCATGATACCCTGCTAATTTTTGTATTTTTAGTAGAGACCGGGTTTCACTTTGTTGGCCAGGCTGGTCTCAAACTCCTGACCTGGTAATCCGCCTTCCTCAGCCTCCCAAAGTGCTGGGATTACAAGTGTGAGTCACAGCGCCTGGCTGCCGAAGTGTGTTTCTTTGGGTAATAGATATTATCTTGAACACTTAGTGTAAGTTGTACTTCTTTAAAATTGAGTGTGCTTGTTCATTTAGTTACATCATAATTGTAGACACAGTTTAATATATCTTTCTAATTGCTCTTTAATTGGCAGTGATTCCCAGTATTTTCTATTATCTCCTCTTTCCTCATAGCTTCTTTATCAAGGAATGATTTGACCAAAATATAATTTCACCAGAGGAGTTAACAATTTAAAGGAATTCTGCAGTGAAACACTTTGAAAGTTAGCCTTTACTAAAGCAAAAAAAATCAACTCCTAACGTATCTCCTTTGTAAACTTAGTCTTTCCTACACATGGCATTTTAAAGGCAAGAAGACTGTTTTATGTTTGTTTGCTTTTTCCGTCTGAGAGTGTTTAGGAAAAGTATGCATTTAATTTAATCCAAGATACTCCAGTAATGATTGACTTCTACTTCAGGGTTGTTAGACTATTCTAAATTCTAAAATCTGCATGATCTTTTTGAGTCCTAGGCTTGAAATCAAATGCCACTGAGGCGCTTGGGTTCAAGTTCTTTCTGTTTACAGTCCAGGCAATGGGGTCTTCTCAGTTCAAAGAAAATAATTTTGAAAAGTTACAGTTTCTAAGACATCAAATAACTTTTGCAGAATAACATTTTGATAAGTGAGTATACAAGAAGCAGAAACATATGGATCGAATTTCCCTTGCTAAGAAGAAATTTTAAAATAGAAGAGAACTACTTATTAAAATGGCTCTACCAAGCTCAAAATTTTTCCTCTAAATTTAGTGTCTTAAGTGTGATTCTACCAAATTAAAAAAATAATTCTCTAAATTCAGTGTCTTCTAGTGGTAAAAAATTAAAAACAAACTGTTGTGAAACTATTACCTACTTTTCTTTGGAACAGCATTAAAAATAGTTGTCATTGGGTTGGTTTAGTGTAACTGTTGTGAATGACTTTGGAAAAGTTAATCTCAAGCTTAGGTTCTCTATTTTTTTATAGGGATAATATCATCCATTTGATAAGATACTGTAAAATGCAAACCAGATTCATTGGTAAGTGTGCAGAGCAGTTGTGTCTAACAAAAGTGTAATATGAGCCACAAAGGCAACTCATATATAGGTAATTATAAGTTTTCTAGAAGCCACATCAAAAGTGTAAAAGAAGTAGGTGCAGTTATTTTAGTAATATATTTAATCTAATAATATTCATATTTTAACATACAATCAATATAAAAATTATTACATTCTTTTATTTCATACTAAGTCTTTGGAATCTGGTATGTAGTTTACACTTATAGCACATCTTGATTGGGACTAGCTACACTTCAAGTGCTTAGTAGCCACATGTGAAGTGGTCACCATTTTGGACAGTGCAGCAATAAATGGCAGCTGTTAATATTAGTTGAATTCTTAATGTGGCTTTTCAAGACACCATAATCATTTTCCAGAGAGACTTATAAAGATGACTCTTAGCTCAGTTTAACTCTGAACAAGTAATCAGTACATGTTAGTGATTATTACTATAATTTTCACTGATTGTTTTACTTGTACTTTTCAAATTTTTCCAATATGTTCTGTATTTTCAGAAACATTGTAATACCCTTGTAATACCCCATAATCACGTCTCATCCTGCATAATTAAACAAAATATTATTTCTGAATTTATTTGATGCCCAGTGATTTGAGTTTCTGCAGTGTTTCCTATGCAGTACTATAACAATGACTAGTCATACACTATTTTAAATGGTTTTCCTAGGGAAGAATTCCATATCTTGATATCTGCAGACAGAGTATTGATTTAACCCATGTAGGAGTTTCAGTGAATGAATGTAAGTGGCACAAAGACAAGAATCATGTTCCTTGATGTATTATAAATGCCTTGAACACTGTCTGGCACTTAGTAGATGCTCAATACACATTTGTATTGAGTAGAATGATTAGATATCTTGGATATTACAGAGAACTCATTACTGTGTTCTGTTGCTCATGTTGATGGAAACCTGTTACCTGAATGTTTGGGAGAATGTATAAGTTAGTAGTTGATAATTCTGTAACATGTCATGATACATTTGGTCTAAGGGTGACATGTGAGGACTTCTCCATGTTAATTTTCAAAATGTCAGTGTTGAAACTGATGTATAGCTTTACAGCATAATGACTGATGGTGATGGAAGAACTTTAAACATTCAATATGTTTTTTTACAAGTTGTTTAAATGTTCCAGTTTAAGGTAAAGCAGAGCTTCAGGTCCCATCACCGCAAGAAAAACAGTTTTATGCTCTCAATTTGTGATTGCCTCCAGCAAACAAAATGCTCTTGGGATATAAATTCAGGAAGAAAGACTAAAGATATAAAGGTCTTCAATATGCCCAAGGCAACCATTTTCAGGTTTTCTACTTAGATTCATGATCTATCTGACTTTTACTTGTATTAACAACATATTTAATTTTTCTACTGTAGTCCAGATTTCTTTTTAGCAATATAATATTTTCTTTAGATAGGGTAGCACTAAGGAAGGGATAAATAGATTTTTGATGAAGCAATATTTGCTAACGTACAGCCCACATTGGGATACCTGCTTCCGTTGATAAGTCAGGGGACTTGAAAAATCACATATATTAACAAGAGCTAAAAAGCAACAAAAAGTAACATCAAGATACAACACCCACGGCACACAGGAGGCTGGTTTCTTGGGTCTCCTCCCAGACCTCCTAATTGCCCTGGGTTAATGAGGATAAGATTTAAGTGGAATAGCAATATGCCTGACATATGGAGGTCATGCCAAGGAGAGAAGATCTGTGCTAATGGTTTTACAAAATGCTCGAAGTAGCTGAGGCTTAAATATGCTGACCCTTCTATGTGAGCTTTTGATCAAATAACTGTAAAATTGGCTTGGAGCGCTAATTATGAGAGAGATGAGGAGTTTTGATTATTTAATTATTAACCAAAGCAGAAAACAAATAACCTGAACAAGATATATATATCTGATAAGATTCTTCTGGAGAAATGATATTTGAAGAGATTTAACACAAGCACTTTCTGAAATTGTGATTAGTTTTGTTATTACTTAAAAAACGGAAATAATTATATCAGAAATATCCTATATAAGATAATCAAAGCTGAATAATGTTAAAGATGATTGTTTTCTCAGGTCCTAATAGATCATGGTTATGACAGGATTCAATAAGAAAGAAAATCAAAGAAAAAAATGTTATTCATTCTTTCAACAAATATTTATTGCATGTCTACTGTGTGGCAGGCACTGTTCTAATGTCTAGGAAAACAGAGAACAAAACAAAGAAATGATTCTTTTGGTGTTTAAAGTCCCAGAAGGAAAGATAGGCAATATGCAAAAAACAATATAAAATATATCAGATAATGCTAAGTGCTATGAGGAAAAAGAGTGGACTACAATAGGTATGTGTTTATGACAGACACAATTTTAGATAAAGTGATCAGGAAAAGGTGCTAACAATTGAATAGAGATCAAAGAAAGATGAATATATCTAAAGAAAAGAATTGTAGGGCGTGAGAATGGTACATGTGAAGGCCTCATGGTAGGGGCATGTTCTAGCTGCTTGAGGAAGAGCAAAAGACCAATATGGCTAGAACAGAACTAATAGAGACTAGGGTGGTAGAAAATGTGGTGAGAGAGATAGCCAAAGGCCAATCATGGAGTGTTGTATGAACTTAGGACTTTAGGATTTCTTGTTTGCAAACATTGATAAAAATTTTTATGTTTGCTGAGTGGTCCATTTAATTCTAGAAAGGACCTTTTTTATTTGATGAAAAAGGTTTTGTTATTATGTGGTCCAATTTATCTGATCCTACATGAACTCCTTATCCATTACCATTAAAATAGAAGTTGTAAATAAAGATTTCCAAATTGCTAATAATTTATTGGCAGTGTCAGGCTTCTGCACAGAGCTTTACTTATATTTTTATTGAGGCCAAAATAAAATATCATATAAAATTTAGTTATAATACATGGAGTTAAGCACTTTCTTTTAGCCCATGTTGCAACATGGAAAGGAGGGTGTCTGCTCCAAAGGTTTCATGCATTTATAATTTACAGTAAACTGCAGATATTTAAAAATGTGCCAATGTAGGAAAAAGCATTTCTTTATCTCTAAATGAAAGATTTATTGAATGAGTCAGCCAGTTGCAAAGGAAATCATCAGGAAATACCAGAAGGCTTTTCAGAAATTTGCAACAATATCTACTTTGGTCATTTGTAAATCTTGGAAATATTAGTTATTTATGTAACTAACCATATATATTTATATAAAAACATGTTCTCTGAAGTTATTTTACTAAAACATGTAGTCAATAATCAGTGGTAGGAATGAGACTTTAAGCAATCCCTTCAGCTTGTATATTTGTGAATATGATTTTTAATATATACTATATATTACATAATAACTACTGATGGACCCTTTATGTGAGAAATTAAAAATGCCTTGAAAGTGAAAATGTAAAATCAGTAATTATTATGTTTAAGATTTTGCTTGATGTTCAGCTTGATTGAACTATATCTGCTCAATTGCAGCATATTTTTTTCTGTCAATATCCTATATTAAACCTTATAAATATGAAGATCTTATCTATTCTGCATAAGAAACAGTGCTGACTTTCTTACTCACCTTAGATTGTTTTAGTCGAAACTCTTTATCTCTCTGCATTCTGTACTGGTCAATTTCTACCATTGCTTCCTCCTTGGCTTGCTTCAATCGCTTTCCTTTTCCTGAAAATTAACAAATATATATATATATATATATAATTATATATATCAATATATAAATATTTATTATATATATCTCAACAAGGATATATATATTAACAACTGTACATATATGTTACACACGTATGCATATGGAGCTGCAAACTTAGTTTTTTTAAAATAGATACATTCTTCCTTATTTTTGATGATTTTTTCTAGAATGGCAAACTTTGCTAAAAAAATAGATATTGAAAATTTTATTATTTTTTATTGGATTCTTTAGGACACGTAAATGACAACTTTTTTTTGCACTTACATGTTTAAATAAAATATCTGCCCATTTACTCACAGCAGTAATGCCAGAGAACAGATTTTAGCTGTCACTTACTCAAAAAGACATTATTTGGTCAGATTTTCAGTCTTGATTTGCTGCCAGAATCCTTCAGTCCACACCAACTGGATCCTATTTAACACTGGCAGATCTCCAAAATCACTACAAACATGCAACTCAGACTCTATCAAACTAACTTACAATTTTTAAAAACGTTTTATTGGGATTTTTCCTTACCATTTGTTGACTCTACAATGTCTGATTAAGCCTCAATACATCAAAGCAATTTTTTTTTTTTGTAACTTTCTCTGAGGGGAACTTGCTTGAAAGTGGCTATAAAACCAATTGTTTTTAATGATTAGGAGATTTAGTTAAGTAGCCTTTTTTCTTTTATTAAGAGCAAAGGTGTAAGCCTTAAGCTAGCAGACAACATAAACGAAAGTTTTAGACGAATACAATGCTGTGGTAATCATTAGCTGAGCACATGACTTTTTTTGACAACCAGAGTAAGTTTGGGGGGGGTTACAGACAAATATTAATTGGTGCTTTGCTCTCTCCACCCACCACCTTGGGGCTTAGCTACTAATGCTTCATGATCATTAAAACTTTAAAGAAATTCTGAACTACATTAAAATTCTTTTTTTCTATGAATCTATTGTCTTTCAATTTCAGTAAAATGCCTCCATTCTTTTACCCATTTTATAGTTTTTTTCCTCTGATAATGTTTCTTAAGTATTGTTTACAATTTCTGTCAACCATTTGTTATATTGTAAAGACTTTGAACTAAAGAATAATGTGTTCTCAGGTAGCATGAAAGAAAATCTTAGTGTAAACTTTTATCTGTCTCCCATTTACCTATGCATGTATCTACCTTTGCAGCATTTGCACAGAGATTGTTTCTCAATTTCTTTCCCTTCTAAGTATGAGTTGCTTCACTAGTCTCTGTATGTATATGGGATAAAAATAGAGTCACTGAGTTACAAACTGAAATGTGTCTCTTTTAATATCTACCACCCTTGAATGGAACTGGGAAGTCCTCATTCAGAACAGATATTTAGCTCTGCCTACACTTTCTTTAAAATCTGAGATCTGCTGAAAACTACTGCTCTTCTGTTGCTTGAGGCTTAATGGAACATTAATAGCAATGCTTATCTTTATATTAATTAATGCTCATTACCATTTTGTATATACTGATTCCTTCATTCTCTATAGTTGTAACCATTTTGTGACAACTACATATATATTATTCACAGAGATTCTCTGTGAGCAGAATAAATCGATGATATGTTGGTAGGAAAAACTATTCCTTGATCTCCAACCCACTTTCTTCTATCTGTTTGTCATTTACATCAGAACAAAAATACAGAATGTTAATGTATTGATTTTTTTTAGTAATAATGGGTTGTAGGATACATAATTATTTTACAAAATAAATCACATGCCTCACTACTCTCCATCTTAATTGCATAATATCTAAAAATAGTGGTTTTAAAGTTATGCCTCTCTAGCACATTAAAAAAAAAATCATAGGAAAGGGTCTGTGTGCCCTACCCTTGAGTGGAATTCAGCACTCCACTAAGAGGCTGTATATTAGCTCCATCACACGGTGACAGGCTCAGAGCGTGTCTGTGATTCCCTTGTCATGGCACCAGTCACCTGCTGGTTCTCATTCAATTAAATGGGAGAGCCACAGGGAAATCGTTGCTGGCACAGCAATTTTCTTGATAGACTCAGCAGCTGCTGCTGTGTAAGAGCCTGCATATGCTCCACCTGATTTAATCCAGTGGAAAAAACTGGAGCCTAAAGCCTACTGTTCTGTTAGAGGTGAAACAAAATGCACACTTCAAATCCACTCATATTAACCTCTAACTTGCTTCTCTCTGTGTGTAAGAATTTGGCAATTCTAAAATTATACTTATTTCTTTGTATGCATTAAAAACATGGCTGCTGTGACCAAAAGCGGGGAGAAAAGACATTTGGACTGATTTTCAGGTGGTTTGTGGGAAAAGGATTAATAAAATCAATTTTGGGCAGGTTAAAACAACTCTGTGTCGGAGACAAAGGGTAATGCTTGAAGATGGACTCTTCCTGGCCTTCTCATTAGGACAGGCCAGGTGAACTGACTGTCCCCAGATGCGATAAGTTCTTGAGGTACAGAGAAACCTAATTCTGTTGGATTGCTAAATTTGTTCTAGGCTCTTTTCCCAATGGAGAAGATAGGATTTCATTTATCATCTAAGGCAATCAGAATCATGCACTAGGCATCATGGCAATAAAACATTAGAAGCTTTGTAACTTTGAGCAGGTTATTGAGTTTTCTCATCTATAAGACAGATTTAATAATCTACCATAAAAAGTTATTGGAGGGATTAGAAAAAAATGTATATAAAATGATTGACAAAAGTAGTTGTTTAATTATTTTAAATAATTATTAGGAAAACGGGTCCAATTCCTAGGGGCCTTTTGCTAAAAAAGAAGTCAAGGAGAAAAAAAAAGGCAAGGGGTAAAGCGTGAGTTTGAGGAGAAGTCCTCAGGCTGTCACTAGAGAAGCCTCTGTAAGCTTTCCTGAGGATATTTAATTGGAGGTATGCAGACGACAGCTGGGGAGACAAAATTGGGATGCAGGAGGAAGGTCTGAAATGAAGACAGAGATTTGCATATTAGTCATTGGGGCCTGTATATATGCTAGTTATAGCAATGGGATTTAGACAGAAATCAAGGGAGAGTATACAGAATGAGGAGAAAAGAAGGCTAAGGTCTCAGCTTGGGGGAATATTAACACTCAACCTTTAAGAAAAGAAGGAGGAAGGTTGGAAGGAGCCAGTAGTAGTCAGAGAAGTTGGAGAAACCAAAAGACAGAAGAGAACATTCCAAGAAGGATATGGCCAGCAGTATCAAAAGACACAGAGAACTGAAATAAGAGATATTTAATCAACATAACTAGATGTCTATTCTGTGCCACACACTATTGTAGATCTATGGATATAGCAGTGAAAGCCACAAACTTTTTGTTTCATGGAGTTTGTGTTCTGAATGTAGTTGGGGAGATAAAAATAGAAAATGGACAATAAGTATATAATATGACAGGGATGATGGTGAAGAAGAAAGGAGAATAAGGGGTAAAGAAAGATGGTGGATTCTACTTTAGACAGATCAGGCCTCTCAGATGAAACAATATGTGAACAGAGGCCTAAAGGAATAAGGCAACTAGTCATGCAGATATCTGAAGGGGGAGAGTCTTCCAGGCAGGGGGAAGGGTCCTCCAGGCAGAGGGAACAGCAAGTGCAGAGGCCCTGAGGTGGGAGGATATTTGCCATGCTGAAGGAAGAGCAAAAACACCATCATGGCTGGAGCAAAGAGAACAGGATATTCAATCATGAATGTTAGGAGATGGTATTAGAAAGATAGTAGCACGACCAGGTCATATTGATCTCACAGGGCACGGTAAGAATTTTGGTCTTTGGAATACTAAATTCATGAAGGGTTCTTAGCCAAGGCATGACATAATACTACTTGTAATTTAAAAGGATTTCTTGGCTAGGCACGGTGGCTCATGCCTGTAATTGCAGCACTTTGGGAGGCTGAGGCAGGTGGATCATGAGGTCAAGAGATCGAGACTATCCTGGCCAACATGGTGAAACCCGGTCTCTACTAAAAATACAAAAATTAGGTGGACATGGTGGTGCGTGCCTGTAGTTCCAGCTATTTGGGAGGCTGAGGCAGGAGAATCGCTTGAACCCAGGAGGCAGAGGCTCAGTGAGCCAAGATCACGCCATTGTATTCCAGCCTAGCAACAGAGTGAGACTCTGTCTAAAAAAAAAAAAAAAAAATTTCTTTGGCTGGTGTGGTGAAAATAGAAAATACACTATAGGGGTAAAGGAGAATCAAGAAGATCAGTCTGAAATTTGTTGCAATTGTTCAGGCAAATTTAATAATTGCTGGAAATGGTAAAGTAGTAGTGGAGTTAGCAAGAAGAGGGTAGATATATTTTGGAGGTGGAATTGATACATGAGCATGAGAGACAGATATGAGTCAATGATGGCACCAACATTTTATTTTGGGGATGGAGTCAATACTGCAATTTCGTTGATATGCCTATTCAACATCCAATAGTGATGCTGAGACAGCTGGTGTTTATATGAACTTAGAGATCAGGGAAGCAACGAGTGCTGGGAATATCAAGTTTGGGAGTCATCAACTTGAAGCTGGTCTGTAAAGCCATGAGATCAGATGAGAGCACCTCAGAAGTATCTGCTGATAACCAAGAGAACAGGTCCAAATTGGGGTCCGACTTTAAGGATTGAGAAGACAACAGGAAGCCAACCATGAGAGTAGTGTTCCAAAGTCAAATGAAGAAAGAGTTTCAAAGAGGAAAGAGGGATCTAATTATGAATGAGATATTGAATTAATATTGGGTTTAGCAAGACTGGTGATCTGGGCAAGAGGAACTATTGGTGGAGTTATAGGAAGAAGTGTTCAATAGAAAATGGAATGAAACATTGTAGACACAGGGAACATAGGCAACTTCTCTGAGAAGTTTTAACCAACAAAGGGGAACAAAGAAAATAAAATAAGGGCTCAAGGTGGTCAAGTGGATTTGACAGCTAGAGGATTTAATTGTGCCCCCCGAAAACATATGTTGGAGTCCTAACTCCTGGTACCTCTGATGTAACCTTACTTGGAAATAGGGTCTTTGCAGATGTAATCAGGTTAAAATGAGGTATAAGGGATTAAGACAGGTCCTAAATCCAACAACTGGTTCTCTTATAAGGGAAATTTGAATACAGAGGCACAGAGTCAGAGCAGACACACAGGGAGGAAGGCCATGTATTGATGGAGGTATACATTAAAATGATGCAGCTGCGAGACAAGGAGTGCCAAGGATGGCTGGCTACCACCAGTGACCAGGAAGGAGGCATGGGGGTTTCTCCCTCGGTGCTTCCAGAAGGATCCAACCCTGCTGGCACCTTCTGTTTGGACTTCTGGCCTCCAGAATGGTGAGATAATCAATTTCTGTTTAAAGCCACCTAGTATATGGTAATTTGTTACAGCGTCTCTAGGAAACAAATGCAGAGAATCAGCAAGGAGCATAGAGAAAACAATGCTAGTTGAGCATTGGAGACAAAGCCAGATACCCTAGTGTGGTGAAAATAGTAGGTATTGAAATGAATGTGCCACCTGACAAAAATATGCATAAACAGTTCAGAAGCCATTTTTATTTGCTGTATAAACAAAGGGTACTTTGGTAATGTTTGAAGATTTCTGTTAGTAATAACAACTTTTGATCTATTCTACCACTCAGAAAACAAAGCAAAACCAAACCAAACAAAACTTCTTGGCTTTGGGCGATTGTCAATATTGTGATAAAACCAACCTGATTCAAAGAATGCTATTATTTTTCCCAGTGACTACAAACATTGGGAAAGAAATGTCACCAGAAAAACAAAGAGGCAGCCTCTCCTTTGGTGACTGTCACTGCTAGAGCTTCTCTTACACTAAATTTATTTCCTGTCAGATCTCTGCTTCCTGAATGTTTTCTTTTGCTTTTCTTCTACTTGTATTTTCCTTATTAAAAATACAATAAATAGTTTTGTGTAGCTCCTGGACTGAATATAACCAAATGCTATTAATAGATGAAAATGCTCTGTGGTTATTATTTTAATATTACCCACCTGAAGAAATGAAAGCCCAATACACTTACAAATACCCTGTTAGTCTGTGGACTATAAAGGAAGAGGAAGTATTTACAAGCCTACAAAACATGCAAGACAGGGCCATGAAATTCTTATATAACAACTTTTATTTTATTAGTTTATTAAAAGTCTTGTCTTTATGAACAAAAACATCCACTTGCATAGTGAAGAATTTATTAAATTGAGGTGCTTGTTTAAATAATTCAGAATATATGCATATTTGGAAGCAAATAGGAAATTTGCTGATTTAAAAAAATTATTGATGGTTGGCATCCTATAGACTCACAAAAATAAATCTGAATTACAGTATTATCTGATGTATTATCTAGAATGCAGAAATATTTTCTTAAGTATGTATTTTGCCTCATAGTGGACCATGCTTAAGAAATCTCCAGGACTTTTTTGCTGTTTTTGCAACAAAATTCTTTTTATTGGATATTAAAATAATATTAACAGCTAAAATTTCTTGAGCACCTTCTATATGCCAAGTGGTGTTTTAAGTCTTTTATAAGAGTTAACTCAGTTAATCATGACAACTCCATGAGGTAGGTACTGTTAGTATCTCCATTTTGAGGCTGAGGAAACAGGCACAGCAAGGTTAAGAGGTAACCCACCCAAGGTCACACAGCTAATAAGAAGCAGAAGTTAGACTGGCATCCAGGCAGAGCAGCTGTAGGGGGTGAGTACTGACCATACTATTTTGGGAGAAAGCTAGAGCAGTGTGTTCTTCACTTGTATTACAATTGTCTGTAGCTTTTAGACATTTTTAATATAGCTATTTGTTCCATTTTTCTCATATCCAGATTAGAAAATTTACATTTTTTTTTGCTATTTCTTTCAATCTATATCCTGTAATGCAATTTGTAATTTTTAGTTAAGCACAAATGCTACTTTCTGCAGCTTCCAAAGTAAATAAATTGAGTGTTTATTTCTAGGAGAGTATGCCATGTATGTTCAGAAATGATTTGGGAATATGAGTTCTTTATGTGATGTTGAATTGCATGCATTTGAGTATTTCAGAACAATGTTAATGCAGAGCTATAGGGTTTTAAAAGTTTGCAATGGGTGTAAGTGAAGTAAATACTTCTCTTAAAAAAGGTCATGACTAAAAGTAAAAATGCAACATATTTCAGAGAAACACAAGTCTCTGTTCCTCCTGTTGATAATGGTACTTTGAATTTCTAATCTAATTCTGATTGAAGTTTCAGTTCAATACCCCAAACCTGGAGCTCCATGGCAGATCTCTGATGTTTAGGTAACTTGTCTTGGACCAACACACCCACTTTTATGTTTTGATTAATGAACAATTTATTAAGTAAAGAGCATTGAATCTAGGTAAGATAATTTAAAGTAGTGCAAACTACTGTGATTTCATCTAAATTCAACCAAAATAGTAAGGCAGTTTTGCACATAAAAATGAGTGAGAGCTTTAACTAATAAATATAACCTGTAATCAGTGAATACAGGAAAGTATCTGAACATTTCTAGTCATCTTACCAGAAGCAGTCCCAGTCTCTTCGTTTTAGGAAAAGTAGATGCAGAACTTACAGCAGGGGTAAAAACAAATGGAATGAGATCATTCTAGTCTATATCATTCTTCTATCATTATTACTTACAGTAACATACAAAAATACATGACATATATTAAAAATAAAAATAACTCTAGTGTGTATTTTGCTTTACTATCTTACACATATTTTTCTGATTCTTACAACCTCTTGGTCATATGTGTGTGTGTGTGCGTGTATTATAACTTCTATTTTTATTTACAGAAAGAAAGTCTGAAACTTGGAGATGTTAAATGACATTAAGAATTGTAGGTTTTCAACTCAAGCCAATGCTTTTATACTCTACTACTTCCCAGTCTGACTTCCGAAGCCTGTCCACATTCCTGCCCATGTCCCTGTCAGATTTCATCTCTCTCAGTAGCTGGTGGATGTCTTGAGAGCAGAGACTTGCATATTCAATTTCTATAGACCGCGTGGCCTTCTGGAGAGTTCTTGATACATCAGGTTCATAATCCCTTATCAGTATCCCTAAAGGCAAAACACTTAGACCATATACTGTATCATGTAGCAACTGCACCAGGATCTGAGGCTGTTCTCCTTAATGGAATATATTAATATTTTTTCAGCATAATATAAAAATAACCATATTAATCTTGTATTTTCCTGAAATGATTAACATGTGAATTGCTGTTTTCTTTCTCTTTCCCTCTTTCTCGCCCTTCCTTCTTCCTGTCTTTCTTTTTCTTAAAAATAATACACTCAAGAGTCTTGTTCTAGCACTTTATGCCCAAGTTTCTGAGAGTCTTGCAAATAAATGGATTTAAGAAAGAGAAAATGACCATAGACCTTCTACAATGGTGTTCACTATTGTGACTTCTTGGTCCTCATTCTGAATATCATTCTGCCTTAATATGTCAGAATTTCAAATGAATCTTTGTATGAAAAAATAAAGCAAAAGTATATGGGTTTACTAAAATGATAACTATCTTTACCTCTCCTGTCATCATGCCTCCTTTCCCTTTTTAAAATAGTCATTTGTGCATTTATCTCACTGGGAAGTTCTTTAAGGAAGAACTAGGTCTTATTTATCAGTGTAAACATCAAAGTGGCCTGGAATTAGTAGATACCCAATAAACACTTATTGAATTAAATAAATGAAACAAAAACCACTGAAACATTAGGGAAGTTATAACATACTGGTATATAAGGTAATATTTCTATTTTGCCATAGATCGCTTATGTGAGTAAGCTGTTGTAACTATAAACTTTAATACCTGCTGATAGCTTTAAGAAAACAGTTTCTATCCAGTTAAAACTGACCTCAACGCCTGTGGCTTCTGAGGCAAAGAGGACAGGCTGACATTCTCCATAAAACTGAGTGCAGAGGTTAGTTGTTGAAAGTCAAAATATTTTCCAGAATGTCTTTAAAGCCTGGGTATTTACTATTACTGGTTGAATATCCCCTTGAATATTCATGAACAAAGACATGGTAGATTAAGAAAAAAATATGCAGGTATTTTAAGTTACTGGCAAATGAAATGAACATTTTTGTATAGAAATAAGACAGTATGTACTTTTCAATACTGAATTCTGAGGAAAGATTGCCCAAGGACAGCATATTCACTAGAGAAAAGCAAAAGAAATTGGACTTTTATCTTTATTCTGAAATTTGAAGCCAGGTTGCCCTTAGCGGCTCCCACCCCAAAACAGCTTGCATGTATAGCAATTCTTTTATTCTTTAATGACTCGAAAAAAGGAGAAATAGTTGGTAAAAATTATTTGAGTCATACAATAATATTGATTAATCTATACTCAATATTTCATTTTGTATCCTCCATAATGAGAAAGCAAAGGCAACATAACTATCACATCTTTAAATTATCTGGTCTTCTGTTCTGAAAGTTTTAAATATTGTTAAAGAAGTTTTTAAAAAGGCCTGGCACAGTAGCTCACTCCTGTAATTGCAGTAATTTGGGAGGCAGAGGCAGGTGGATCTCTTGAGCTCAGGAGTTTGAGACCAGCTGAACAACATGGCGAAACCCCGTCTCTACAAAAATACAAAAATTGGCCGGGTGTGGTGGCGTGTGTCTGTGGTCCCAGCTACTCTAGAGGCTGAGGTATGGCTTGAGCCTGAGAGATGGAGGTGGCAAGGAGCCCAGATCATCTGCATTTCAGCCTGGGAACAGAAGCAGACCCTGTCTCAAAAAAAAAAAAAAAGAAGAAGAAGAAAAGAAAACCCTGAAATTTTTAAAAAGGGAAAATTCTCTATGCCGCTTCAACCACAGGTCCTGAACTGCTTTGTTTTCTATAAAACTACTCTACATTCATATCATCTTGCAACTATTTCCACACTTCGTTGTAGAAAAAGAAATTGAGAAATAGGTAAAGTTTGCCTTCACTATCTTTCTTCTTCCTTTCCTCTTCTATCATCTCCACCTGGAGTCATTCCTTTTATGTTGTTGATGCCCACATTGCTGAGTGTTCAGGAAATCTATTTATCTTAAGAAAAGGAAATGATTTTACCTGTGGTTGAAAACTTTAGTGTACCTGCCTTATTTCTGACTGACTTTCTTATGTTGTAATATATTCCTTCATTTCATTCATTACGTTTAAATAATTCAGTACCTACTCCAATCCCATCACTACATTCATCCAAAGAGTTACATAAGTAACATTTTGAAAATATGGCCCCTGTTTTGCCAGACTGAATCTAATTGCAGAGGCAGGACACACAAGGAGAGTGAATGACACTACAAATTATTGTAGATTGAATAATGAGGTGATATGAAATGGGATAGTGAAAAAAATGTCTTGGCCTTGGGAATCTGAATTCCAGTTGTAGATCTGAGACATATTAATTTTTTTATTATGCAAATTGTGTAAATTTTGTAAAGCACAGTGGTTAAGATCTGGGCTTGGAAATTATAGCTCATCTAAATCTTGTCTCTACCATTTACCCTCTGTGTGACCTTAGACAAGTTGTATAATTTCTCTAAGCATCACTTTTGCTTTTTCAGTAAAGGTTGTGAGGAATAAAGATAAGCAATGAGCATGGTGCCTGGCACAATATTTTCTATTTTTAAAATATAACCTTGAACAAATCAGTGACTCCATTTCTGCATACATTGGGAATAATGTTAATATCCTATTCATTTGGCTGTTGTATCAAAGAGAATAGAAAAGGTGTTGAAGTTCATTGAGGACATTCTATATGTAAGTACATGAATGCATGACCAAATGAAAAGAGAGCTGAGTACAGTGGCAAGTGCCTGTAGTCCCAGCTACTTGGCAGGCTGAGGCAGCAGGATCTCTTGAGTCCAGGAGTTGGAGTTCAGCCAGGGCAACATAGTGAGACCCTCATCTCTTAAAAAATAAATTAATAAAAATAAAAAGAGAGGTAGAAAATGAGAATAAAATGAAAATATTTTAAAATATTAGATGTTAAAAAGCTACCAAGAGAGGGATGAGAATGAGCCATTATTATTCTGATTTTATGGAAATGAAAACTGATGCTTATAAAAAATAAGTAATTTGCTCAGGTTTACTCACTAATAAGTAGATTCAATCCAGAGGTTTTCTACCCCCTAACAATGTTGAGAAAACAGGCATGGCATAGCCAAGGCTTAAGCCCACATCTCTATAATCTTAATGTCCATGAACACATGACCTCTCAAAAGGATCTGAATGAGGAAACTTCATCCCTGCTCTAGAAATAAGGAACATATGGCTGGGTAATTTTAATGAATGGGTGAAGGTCTCACAGGGAGTACAGTAAACCAAAGTTTGAAACAAGGTCTGCCTAATCCAAAAGTCTATGCTTATCCCTGCATTCCACTGCTTTGTTTATTTCGTGACAGACCCCTCACAGGTGAGACTTACTCTTCTTGGCTTCCTCTAGCTTGTCCTTGGCCCGTTTTTCTGCCTGAAGAAGCTGGTGGATCCCCTGAGACTGGCTTGTCATGGTAGTCTGCTCCAAGCAAGTGGCTTCTGTGAAATCTGGGAAGTAATGGGTTCATTTATTCTTTTAGAAATTAACATATAACTCAGATTATTGTGTCAACAGCAAGTTCCAAATGCAGCTGTTTCAAACTGGCTTTATTGGGCTGGATAGCTGGGTCCCAAGGAAAGCCCAAGGTGGAATCTAGAAAAACAAGTTAAACCAATGTGCATAAATTGAGAACTTACCATTTCTGCCAATCTTAGCTCTTCTGTATGAGATAAGGAGGTATAAATGAGGTGTTGCATCTACTTATAAATAATGAATAAGAGACCTTTTAAGAATGTTGGTTTCCCTAATCTTCCAAGAAACATTGACATGTTTACTGAGTTTTTCTTTTAAGTAACAAGATCTTTGCTCTTTGTACCTGCAGTACTTTGTTTCAGGTCTTTTTCTTTATTTGTTTCTAGTGATTCAGTTATCTGCTTGGAGAAAACGTGTTAATCTTTTGTTAGGAAAGAGATTCCCTAGCTTTGTGCATAGATGGTGGACTAAGGATTTTTTTCCCCCAAGGTCTCAGGTGACTGGAATAAAAAGATTTCTTTTGGGCATTGTGCTGCTCTTAAGTAATGCTGTAGGTTGAAGTTCCAGGAAGATCTTACTATGGTGACTAAACAATTAGTAATTTTAGTAGTAGTAATCATGATAGAAATAGACTATAACTGTAGGTTTTGGGATTAAGTTAAAATAATTTAAACATGCATTTTATATTATTCAGTGTTTGTGGTGAGTATTGTCCTAAGATAATACAATAAAATCCATCATACTTGATTTGATTCGATCCAGTAGCAATTGGACAAATCAGAATATTGGTCACAGAGAAGAACCACAAAGTATCATTTATATGTATCTAAAATTTTTATTTGAAGTGAAAAGCTAATCTGTTGACTTAGAATAAGGCTTTCCCCCCGATACGATTTGCAGATTGGGGTTTCACGTATTATTGCTTTCATAAACTATACCTCTATTGCCTCATATGTAAGTGCCAGGTTCATTTTCTTTAATAAGGTGTCTGGATTTAAAGACAATTGTAAAACAATCTGGGCACTAAATCTTTTAAGGCTTTAATGATTATTTTCTCCTAATCTTTTCAAGTTGTCTCATCCATATCTGCATGCCTACATTATGTGTGCATTTTCAGCAAATATTTTCAAAAGGAAAAACTTTTCCACAGGATCACTTTTACTTTTTTTTTTTTT